>NC_000007.14:153549288-153700804 GCF_000001405.40 Homo sapiens | reverse complement strand
ACTTTTATTAATATCTTCCCATATTTCTTAGTTTTCTCATCTGTAAAAATGGTGCTAACAATCATAGCTCTTTTTAAGTCTTTACAGTGTCAAATTAAATTTCACCTGGGATAAGGCCTTGCAGCCTGTGAGGTGTGAGACAAATGCAGTTCCTGCAAAAGGCTTTGTAGGAATATCACGGAGCCAGGTAAGATCATATACAAGGCAAAGGAGCACACGCTTCCTAAGACAAACACACGCTCTCTCTCACATACACACAGACACAGACACACATATCCTCTGACTATCTTCACACCACAACTCCAACTCTGCATTCAACCCACTAGTCTCCTGGCGTCTCCTCTCCTGACCCCAGCATTTGTCTGAGGCTTCACCTATTGAGCATGTCTCAGATCCTGAAATGATTCCAGCTGCGGGGCCTCTGCTCCTCCGATACTGAATGCTAGCTGCCCCTTGAGCTTGGCTTCATCACGGCCCACATCATGGGTGAGGATCAATGAGGATGATAATGGTGATACTATTCATTTGACTCACCAGAAAGAACCCTAGCTTCCAGTTGACAATGCAAGGAAGAATAATTTAGCAATCTAAAAGCTTTCTTTTGCCAATATTGATGTATTTGGTGATTAAAATGAAGCCTGCGCTGCTGGTCTTTCTCCAGGCAGGCTTTCCAACATCATCCGCTAAAATGTTTGTGTTCATTGTGATTATCTTTGAAGTAAAAATAACACCAGCATTTCCTTAGCAAAAAAAGTTTAAAAAGTTTTAAAAAGAAAAACAGAAACATTATAATCCCACAGTAGAATACTGCTTCACAAGGAAAAAGAAAGAACAATTTATGGACACAATAACCTTTTTAAGTCTCAACATTATCAGGCTCAATAAAAGAAGGCTGATAAAACAATAGTCTATAATTCACCCTCTGCCCCCCTTTTTTGGAGACAGGGTCTAGCTGTGTCACTAAGGCTGGAGTGCAGTGATGTGATCTCAGCTCACTGTATCCTCGACCTCCTGGGCTCAAATGATCCTCCCACCTCAGCCTCCTGAGTAGCTGGGACCACAGGCATGAGTGACCACACCCAGCTAATTTTTGAATTTTTTGTAGAGATGAGGTTTCGTCATGTTGCCCGGGCTGGTCTTGACCTCCTGAGCTCAAGCAATCTGCCTGCCTTGCCCTCCCAAAATGCTGAGATTACAGGAGTGAGCCACCACAACCGGCCTATGATTCCTTTTTATATTCCAGAATATTTACGTGAATCTATGGTGGCACAAAGCCATTCAGTGGTTGACTGTGGATGGTGCAGGTCAAAACAGGGAGATGGAGACTGCAAGGAACCACAGGAAACTTTGGGTGGAGTGGTGGATAAGTTCATTATTTGGATTGTCGTGATGGTTTTATTTGTCAAATTTGGTCTAATTATACATCTGAAATATTTCATTGTATTGTGTCAATTGCTTCTCAATAAATTCATGAAAAATGAGTGTCCTCAAGTATCACTTGTATACAAATGTGTGTTGTAGTTTTCGTCAAAAGAGCCCCAAACAGAAAACAACCCAAATGCCCATTAACAGGAAAATAGATTTAAAATGTTGACTATTTATACACTGAAATATATCACAGCCAATAAAGGGAATGAACTATCAATTTAAGCACCATCGGTGGTGAATCTCAAAAATATTTTACGGACCCAAGAAAGCCAGACACAAAGTTGTATGATTCTATTTATATTGAATTCCAAGAGCAAAAGCTATTTATGATGATGGAAATCAAAAAGTGGTTGCTTTTAGGAGTTGAGAAGAATTGGCCAGAAAGGGTGATGGAGAAATTCCCTGGGGTCATGGAAATGCTTTACATGTTGTTTTGGTGGTGATTAGATGGACATCTGCAAAGCACATGGAACTCTTAAATGTAATATCTGCTACATTTTAATTATACCAGAATAAAAATTAGAAAAATAAAAAAATTACCAATCTCAGAGAGGAAGAGAAGCTAAATTATATACACCAGGATGTGCACACATATATATGTTATATATATAATATATATATATTTTATATATATAATATATATATATTTTATATATATTATATATATTTTATATATATAATATATATATATTTATATATTTTATATATATAATATATATATTTATATATATATTATATATATTTTATATATATATTATATATATATTTTATATATATATAATATATATATTTTATATATAATATATATATATTTTATATATATAATATATATATTTTATATATATAATATATATATTTTATATATATAATATATATATATTTTATATATATAATATATATATATTTTATATATATATATATGAAGGGGGAGAGAGAGAGAAGAGACTGAGAAAGCAACCAAGCCGTAGGCTCCCTTTTCAGAGCAGCGAATAGAGGAACATTTAACTGCCATGCTCATGCATGCTCCAGATACCACCAAAGTATTGTTAAAAGCAAAGCAAATGTATTTGTCCCTGTCTGCCGGGTGCAATTAAAGTCAAGGAAAATGTATTTGCTGAGCTGTACAAGCAGACAGCGTACGGCATGGACCATCTGTCCTTCCTGGGGCCCGCAGCTGCGGTGTGCACAGCCCCCAATTCCATCTCTCTGGGAATATCACACTCCTGCTCAACTGTTGAGAAAATGCCCAACTCAAAAATTGCCAGCCTCTGGTTGTCAGTGGCGGGGAGTTGGGGGTGGCGTGTTGGATTGTGAAAGAGGTGAAACTCGTTTTCACTCACTTTGTTTCTTCAAGTCCCACAGAAACTTCACGTGTCCATTGTTCAGAGGTTCATGGAAGTGGGACAGAGCTGATCATTCACCATCTCACTCAGCCACTCACTTGGTGCTGACCTTGGGAAGTTTAGTGAACATTTCGGCGACTGTTGTCTAATGTGTTAATGATACAAAATTTATGCCAAAGATTTGAATTGTTACAATAATTAATAAAATAACAGATTGAAAGCAACTAGCATAGATCATTGCACTTGATATACACTCCATAATTGACATATTTTATTGTTATTTATTCCATAAAATGTGCGGTCCTTTTCCTGAAGCAGTAAGAATAACTAGGGCATAGCTGAGAGTGCAAATCACACACCCACACCCACATAGCCCTACCCCACAACACACTGAAATGTAAGTCCCATAAAGCCAATGACGTATTTGTCTTGTCCTTGACATCTCTGTATCCCTAGTGCCTGGAATAAAGCTGACACGCAGCTACGGCTCAAAACAGATTTGCTGAATGAAACACAGCTTAATTAGAAGATGCAAACATCTTTACCACAGTCCATGTTTAAAGCAAATTTATGTTGTTCTTGGAGGTAAGTTGTTAAGGCAATGAATTGATTAGTGATCATTAAGATTTTTATTCTGGCTGAGATGGGTGGATCACCTGTGGTCAGGAGTTCGAGACCAGCCTGACCAACATAGTAAAACCCTGTATCTACTAAAAAAAACAAAAATTAGCTGGACATGGTGGCGTATGCCTGTAATCCCAGCTACTTGGGAGGCTGAGGCATGAAAATAGCTTGAACTTGGGGGGCGGAGGTTGCTGTGAACCAAGATTTACCATTGCACTCCAGCCTGGGCAACAAGAGCAAAACTACATCTCAGAAAAAAAAAAAAAAAAGATGTTGATTCTGAAAATGTCCATGAGGTTTGGATTTACACAAGTGAATACTTAACTAGATAAGAATCCAATCCCTGCCAACAGGCTTCACTTTCTTAGTGTTTGATGCATGTATTCCATCCTTAGAATTTACCATCCTAAGCATAAACTTTGCTGAGCTAGGAATAAAGGCTAATTGGGAGACTGGTGGGAAAGAGCTAGTGCCCTGAAGACCCTGAATATGGACAGAGGCAGCAGGAAGGGAAATTAGGGCACTAAGTGAAACGGGAGGAGTTTTCCCTTATTCCACTCATAGGGCATACCATAGGAGGTGTGGCTCCCTTCTTTGGTGCCCAGCTGCTCAAATCTGTAGGGGAAGCATACAGACGGGCAGGTCATGGGGAGAGTCTTTGGGCTGGAACCCCATGGCAGCGTCTAGGATTGAGTGTTTACAGCTCCCGAAGCCCCAGTGGGCATGTGTGCTCTTTCAGCTTAGCCGTCTGCAGGTGGCTTGCGTTCATCAGCTCAATTAGACCCTCTGCCTAATCGCAAGGACAGAGGGCTTTCTGTATCCCAGGTTCTTGCCCTAGTGTACCGGAAAAATCAGATCACATGTGGGCTTGGAGAATGAGTGCAAGGTCTTATTGAGCGGAGGTAGCTCGCAAGGGTACATGGGGAGGCCAGAAGGGGGATGGTGTTGGAAAGGGGTCTTCCCTGGAGTTGGGCCGCCTAGTGGCTGGACACTCCTCTAACCGCCCCTGGCTGAATTCCATGCCCTCCTGCCATCGATGACCTGCCAGAGTCTGCTGGTGCCTGTCGGTGTGCTCTTCCACTCCTCTGCTCCTCTCAACGTCCAGCGCCTGTGTGTGTGTGCCCGCTAGGATCTCGGGATTTCTATAGGCACAGGATGGGGACATGGCAGGCCGGAGTGGTCTTGGAAGATGCAATATTTGGGTGTGGAAACAGGAGTGCCTGGCCTCACTTAGGTCTGCGGGCCCAGGCCCCAGGTGGAGCTCTCGCCAGGGACCCCGCCCTTCTCTATTTAGCACTTCCGTGCCCCCCTCTCATGTCACAAGCACACCTGCTTCTGCTTCAGGTCCAGGCTCCATGTTGCAATCAGGCTGAATAGTATCTCCCTCAGCAGTCACTTACCTGGGCCAGTTCAAGCTGGGGCAGGGCAGTTTAGGGGCCACAGACGTGGCACAGTGAACCTTTCAGCTGAAGAAACCAGAGGGCTCACGGACCTGATAGAAAATTAGAAGAGCCATACAAATTATATGGATTTGCTTTCTTTGTTGCTTTGACCCCTTTTTGAGTCAAATGTCACTTTGCTGGAAATACAGGATTTGGGTTGCTGGCAGAATGCTCTTTATTCCTCAAACAGGCCAGCAGCTAGTAACTTTGGACAGAGATTTGTTTCAACTTAAGAACAAAGAAGAAAACACCGCTGTGATGAAAAATAGTGATTTTAAGGGTTTCTATTGAGCCAATCAACTAATGAGGAAAGAAGCGCTACAACCTTTTTTAAAAAATCGCCTCCCTAAGGAGTCTTTTTAGATAATTTTTTCCTAATTGTTTCTCCAACTTCATCACATTAAATACTAAGGAATAAGACTTTGTCAGTGGGGCTAGTTTTGGAGGGACAAAACACATAATAACAGAAATTTTTGCCCCCTCCAAGAGCCAATTTTCACCCTGTTGGGGGCAGTACAGTGTCATCCCTAATGAGAGCATATGTTCCAAATATGTTTTTACTTAATCCTCACAACACCTTCATGAAGGAGGTTTTTTTTTTCTTTTCTTTTTACAGTTATTTTCACATTAGAATGAGGAAACAGACTGCAAATGCAAAATAACTTGCCCAGAGGTACTTGGTTAGTAAGAGCTGAGCTGGAATTTGAACTGAGGCTTGCTTGACTTAAAAAATATATGTTCTTGAATTCTGCAACATGGTCTCTCCTTGACTCAAGAAACAAACTACAAATGACAAATCTCAATAGACTGATGAAAAATGAATCTTTAATGAGCATTTTCAGTGGTTCTCTGAGAATGTGTTGTCTGGGGTATTCAATCAGAATTTAGTCTGCAAGTTCTCTCAAAGTTTTCATATTTTTTTTTTTTTGAGATGGAGTTTCACTCTTGTTGCCCAGGCTAGAGTGCAATGGTGCAATGGCGCATTCTTGGCTCACCACAACCTCTGCCTCCTGGATTCAAGCGATTCGCCTGCTTCAGTCTCCAGAGTAGCTGGCATTACAGGCATGTGCCACCACGCCCAGATAACTTTTTTTTTTTTTTTTTTTTTTTTTTTAGTAGAGACAGGGTTTCTCCATGTTAGTCAGGCTGGTCTTGAACTCCCGACCTTAGGTGATCCACCCGCCTTGGCCTCCCAAAGTGCTGGGATTACAGGCGTGAGTCACTGCACCCGGGCCATATTTTCTTAAATAACAGATACAATCTACATAACATAAAGTGTATAATTTAGTGGTTTTTAGTATATTCAGAGTCATGCAACCATCATCACTAATTTCAGGACATTTTCATTCCCCCTCCAATAAAACCCCATATTCAGTAGTAGTCACTATCCAGGATCTCCTTCCCCTCAATACTTGGCTACCACTAATATCTTTCCCCTATCAGTTCAGTGGCCTAAACAGTGCATAGAAATAAAATTGTACAACATATGGCCTTTTTTGACTGGCTTCTTTTATTTAAATACTCAATATTTACTTACTTAATATTGAGTGTTAACTTGATTGGATTGAAGGATGCAAAGTATTGTTCCTGGGTTGAACAACACAAACTGGGTTCCATCAGAGGGTGGAGGGTGGGAGGAGTGAGAGGATCAGGAAAAATAACTAATGAGTATCCCTCTGTCAGCTGACAGACATTGTGTTGGTTAATATTGAGTGTCAACTTGATTGGATTGAAGGATGCAAAATATTGATCCTGGTGTGTCTGTGAGGGTGTTGCCAAAGGAGATCAGCATTTGAGTCAATGGACTGGGAGAAGCAGACCAACCCTCAGTCTAGGTGGGCACCATCTAATCACTGCCAGTGTGGCCAGAATAAAGCAGACAGAAGTTGGAAGGACTGGACTTGCTGAGTCTTCTGGCCTTCATCTGTCTCCTGTGCTGGATGCTTCCTGTCCTCAAAGGTCAGACTCCAAGTTCTTCAGCTTTTGGACTCTTGGACTTACACCAGGGTTTGCCAGGGGCTGTCGGGCCTTTGGCCACAGACTGAAGGCTGCACTGTCGGCTTCCCTACTTTTGAGGTTTTGGGACTCAGACTGATCCACCACTGGCTTCCTTGCTCCTCACCTTGCAGACGGCCTATCGTGACACTTCACCTTGTGATCGTATGAGTCAATTCTCCTTAATAAACTCCATTTCATATATACATTTATCCTATTAGTCCTGTCCCTCTAGAGAACCCGGACTAATACAGACATAGACTGTTTCCACCTATTTGCTACTATGGATAACTCTGCTATGAAGAGTTGTACAGGTTTTTTGTGTCAATATACATTTTAAATTCTCTTGGGTGCTGTAATAGGTAGAATAGTACCTATGACCTGATACATTTCACTTCCCCCATGCTCATTTCCCACGCCCACAAAAAGCTGCCTCCGCAGCCTGTTTCATGTTCAGCTTTGTGGTTAAAATGTTTTTTCTTTTTTCTTACATTACTTCCTTTAGGTCAAAATCAAATCATAGTAATTTAGAAAACTCTTTTATTACATATTTCAAGTTGCCATTTAATTATTGGAGAGATTATGCTGAAGAGGCCTTATACTCTGTATTGAAAACTGGAACACTTAATTATCCACATGAGAGAGGCAAACAAAATATTCTAGGTGCTACTGACATATGCCAGACATTCTAGTATAGGGTTTGATATCCATGTTTTACCTTCCAAATTATACCATATGGCTGATGAACCCACAGAAGCCAAGGGTAAAAGGAACATTTATCCATCGTGCATGATGTGACTAAGATTGTGTTAAGGGTTTCAATATTATCTCTCCTATTTCCACACTTGGAAAGAATAAGCAGGCCAGGTGGAGTGGCTCACACCTGTAATCCCAGCACCTTGGGAAGCCAAGGTGGGTGGATCGCTTGAGGTCAGGAGTTTGAGACCAGCCTGGCCAACATGGTGACAACCCATCTCCACTAAAAATACAAAAATTAGCCCAGCGTGGTGGTGGGCACCTGTAGTCCCAGCTACTCGGGAGGCTGAGGTGGGAGAATTGCTTGAACCCGGGAGACGGAGGTTGCAGTGAGCTGAGATTGCACCACTGCACTCCAGCCTGGGTGACAGAGTAAGACTCCATCTCAAAAAAAAAAAAAAAAAAAAAAGGCATGATTTTATTTTTTAAATCACAAAATGAGATTTTGTGAGGCTATATATGTCTGGAAGATCCCACAGGTAATCACTGGTGCAACCAGGAGTGAAACACAGTCCTGCCTGACTCCCACGCCACCCCTTGGCACAGCCCCTTAAATGGTGCTTTCCACAAAATTCGTATCTGTTGCATTATGTTGGGAAAAGGGGTTTGGATGCAGCTAGACAGGATTCTTCTTTGCTTCTATTTTCTTTTCACAAAACTGTTGGAAAAATAAAATAAAATTTCTAAACCTTCTGTCTAATGTCTGTAGTCTGGCAAGAGAGCTAGGAAAGCCACACTTTTGTACAATAACTGATGAACCCAGTAGAAAATCACTTACCACTGACAGCCCTGACCTCCTTGAAGCAAATCCATAGGAAGAGGAGCCTCTCTTCTGCATTGTCATTCTTACCATTGTGTAGGCAAAGGGGGCTCATCTCCTGTGAAACTGAATACAAATAAAGGATTGAGCCATTTAAAACCAGGCCTGCTTCCTTCTTTACCTCAACTTTAGTGAGCCTCTGAGTCCAATTATGTGGCAGCCCGTGAAGCAAGGTGTGCCTGGGTTCAGATGTTAACAGAGCAGGAACCCCTGTGAGCAAATTTGGGGCTTTACATTTTTAATAATATCTTTTTAATGAAGATTGTGTTTCACTGAAATATTTCTAACTAGTTTTGCGCTTATGTGACGAAGGAATGCCAGCTCTAGAGAAATCCATTTGAATACATTTTCAGGGTAAAGTTGGGATAAAATAATTTTGCATTTAACACTTAAGTTAATTGTAATGAGCCTAAGTCTAATGAGCCTTACCTCTAAACTCCATTTAAGACAATAGTTAATTGCTTCATTTTAATAAATGTTGTCAGGATAGTGAATATAGCAATGACTGAGCACTCAATTACTACTGAATCTAAAACATGAAGATATACACAGCTTAATGAGATACATAATCTGAAAAGGCAATTAGCATCCGGAGGTGGAATAGGACATTCTTCTAAAAGCAATATCAAGCAAAGTAATTTGTTTGAAATAACACAAAGTTTCAGATTAGATGAACATTGCTGTGTGCCTAGTAAGTGCCCGGCTCAGAGTGAGGTGCGTGCCCATGCTCATCTCATTTAGTCTTTATTTTATCTGATGAGAAAGTTGAGGTTCAGAAAGGTTACTTAAATTGTGCAGCCATACAGCTATTTAATGGCAGTTTCTTGATTCAAAGCCTTTCCTTGGGAATCTGTTGTTGGGATATCTTCACCTACTTGTTGATGAATGGTGGTTGATATTCAGAAAGTCAGTGGATCAGAAAATAAAAATAATAAGTAAAAAAAAAGCAAATTCTACTTTCTGATGAAATGTCATGTTTGGATATTCAGATACCGTTATCATTCAGAACCTTAAAAGTGTAGAGATTGTAAGTGGAATGGTTTCTTATTCTCCTAGGGATGGGAGGTGCTCTTTCCATATGAAAAGGTTGAAACAACTCTAGGCAAGCAAACTGTACTTTACTTATAAACACAGATATTTTCTACTAATATCAAGAGTAATTCAATTTGTTTGTACTCCCTTTCCTCCCATTGCATGAGTTTGAGATGCATGATTCAGATTGTCTTAACTCAGCTTTCCCAGAGATCAGACCCAGACAAAAAAAATTAACCAGCAAAGTTTTGTTTCGAAGGAGCAATCTAAGAGTGAGAGAAAATGGAGGCTGTGAAGAAATGATGGAAAGCAATGCAAGTAATGCAGTACTGATATGGTTTGGCTGTGCTCCCACCCAAATCTCATCTTGAATTCCCACGTGTTGTGGGAGGGGCCCAGTGGGAGGTAATTGAATCATGGGGGCAGGTCTTTGCCGTGCTGTTCTCATGATAGTAAATTAGTCTCATGAGATCTGATGGTTTTATAAGGGGAGTTTCCCTGCACAAGCTCACTCTTTGCCTGCTGCCATCCATATAATATGTGACTTGCTCCTCCTTGCCTTCCACCATGATTATGAGGCCTACCCAGCCATGTGGAACTGTAAGTCCATTAAACCTCTTTCTTTTGTAAATTGCCCAGTCTCAGGTATGTCTTTATCAGCAGTGTGAAAACAGACTAATACAAATACCATGCTTATCACAGCTTCATGACAATTCCATAAAGAGATACTGTCAGTTGTTCTACAGGTGGACCCCCTCAGCAGTCAGCCATATCTGCTAACAGAGTTTATGCAGAACCATGCTTTGGAAAGTCCATCAAAAGGAAGGTGAAGGTATGTGTCTACTTTCTCCCTGCCATTGATTGAAGCTTTTCTCCACATGAATTAATGAGGTATTGCTCCTCACAAGAGGACATTAGCTGTGGGGGGGCTGCCTGCAGACCCTGACCCAAATGAAGGATGAATAAAATGTACACTGACACACAGATATTCTGCTTTGCCAGTCCAGCTGAGTGTCCGACCACCTGCACACCAAGAGAGGTTTGTCACTGCACTGGCCCTGAGCAGCTCGCACTCCAGGCATTTATTTGGTATACAATTAACAACAGAAGCTTTGAGTAAACACACTTGTGGATAATTAACATGGTTCAGAGAGTAGTTCTAGGAATGATTAAAGCTCAGGTACCGAGGTCTAAGGTAAATACCATTAGGGGGCAATATCCCTAGTCGACCTCCCTGTAAGAGGTTCATCTGGCTCAAAGATTAGTTAATGGAGGCAGGGTAAACAGACTTAACTGGGGAAGCCTCTATTGTCCTTCGTACTTACCCTGTGACCTAATACTCTAAGGTAAGAACTGGCTGCCTTTAGCCTGTTCAATTATTACAAGCTATGTAACCTTTCGGCCTTCCAAAAGGTTCATGACTATTCCCTATAACTTGCCCTAATATTTCCCTTTAATATTTCCGCCACCATCCTGAGTGAATCCCAACAAGTTAACAGCTCCATGTTTCCAGGTTGCATAACCTCACCATTTCAGCAGCTACTCAGCAAATCCGTAACTATGTTTTGAATTTCTGGGCATTTTGTGGGTTAATCTCATGCAGCAAAACTGTATGGGCCCATCAGGACCTTCCTGCTTACCTCCAGGGAGATAGAAAAAAGCAGGTTTTCTAGTCTTCTAACCTGCACTAGGAGAAACTACTAGAAGAAGATGAGTAGGAAGTGAATGGGGTTTGACTTCCTCATGAGCCATGATATAATGGTGGCTCAATGCTAATTGGTAAGGCAAGCAGCAGAGGGGACTAGAGGTGGATGAGGCTGGGAAAAGCTTATATGTTCTAATCATGCTTTCAATCACAATTCACATGCACACAAACATACTAGATAAATATGTACACACATATGTATAGGCAGAGGGGTAAAATTTCTGAGTATACAATTTTAGCTAATCTTCCATATATAGCCATTCTATTTATTGGAGAAAATTGAAGAAGAATTTGAGAATCTCAATATTCTTAAGTTAATACACTACCAGGTAAGTCTTACTATCTAATGAGGATGTGGAAAATCATAGAAGATCACAGGTCTTGCTATAACATCAAGAAAACAGGCTGGGCACGGTGGCTCATACCTATAATCCCAGCACGTTGGGAGGCCGAGGCAGGCAGATCACTTGAGGTCAGGAGTGATCTCAAGTGGCCTGTCCAACATGGTGAAACCCCATCTCTACTAAAAATACAAGAATTAGCCGGCATGGTGGCACACAGCTGTAATGCCAGCTACTCAAGAGGCTGAGGCAGGAGAGTTACTTGAACCTGGGAGGTGGATGTTGCAGTAAGCAGAGATCGTGCCACTGCATTCCAGCCTGGGTGACAGAAGAAAACTCGGTCTCAAAAAAAAAAAAAAAAAGAAAAGAAAAGAAAGAAAACATAAGTAAGTTCGCAAATTTTATGTAAAGAGCACTGGATGCAGAGAAACAGAAAAATCCTAACTTCCAGACAGGAACAAAGCCTTCCTAGGAAGGCCCTAGGAACCACTTTCATCCCTGTGGGCATTTGCCAATCCTGGAAGCGCAGCCATGGAGGAGCATTAATTAGGCAGTGGACTGTTGCTGGAAAAAGAAGAAAGAAGCCTCATTCTCTACATGGGAGGGAGCTCCAAATACAGAAAAGTGTCTATGACTTGACAATTTGACACCACAAGTTTTTGCTGAATAAGTTGTAGAGCAGGAAGCTGGGGCCTGGGTGATCGCATGATCATGAGGAGTGTAGGTACAGAAGTGCTCAAGGAAGAAAAAGAGTCTACGTCTGAACCCACTTGTGGTGGAAGTCATTAAAGACTACCCAGACCCAACCCACATCAACTAGTCACTAGCTTGGAGAAAACAGAGCCTTAGTCTAATTGTCTAACAGAGGAAAAAGTGAGCTTTTACTAGGGGAAAATATTCTGCACTTCAATTTCTGCTGTTCTTTTTTTTTTTTTTTTTTGCACAATATCCTGCATGCAATAAAAATATGTGTGCAATATGAAGAAGCCAAAAAATGTGACCCATGATCAAAAGAACATATATGGCAATAGAAGCGGCGATGGCCCAAGTTTTGGAATTAGCAGACAAGGACTTGTAACAATTATTTTAAATATTAATATGTTGAAAAATTTAATGTAAGACGATCAATTAAGGCAAAAAGATGGCACATTTCAGCAAGACACACACACAAAAAAACAAGATAAAGGAAACTACCAAATGTAAAATCTAAAATTGAATAGTAAAAAATATCTGAAAAGACAAATTAATTGGACGGGTTTAACATCAGAAGAAAAGATGAGAGAATCAAAGTCAGGCCAATAAAATCTATACAAACTATCAAATCTTGGTCTATTTAAGTAACTCTATTATCTCTTTATTATAAGCCACCTTTTTTTTCTGCTAATTTTCATACCCAGTAATTTTTTATTGGTAGCTGTAGATGGTGGATTCTATTTTGTGGAGGGTCTGTATGAAGTTATTTTCCTCTGAAGAGTATTGAATTTTATTTTGGAAGGCAGTTAAAATACTTAAAAGCATATAACTTTTATCCTATAGAGGCTTGGTTTTTGGCTTTAAAAAATGTGTTCAGCTTAGTTTTACACCTTTCCTTAAGGATTGACATTTCTAGGGTCACAATCAAATAATCCACCAGTGTCTCTAGTCTCTGGCTAGTTACAGATTCCAACTTCTCCCCAACATTGGGATGTCTCATCTCTGCTCACCTCTTAGGTTCTATGCAATTGTTCTTTGCTATTCTTTCTGAGTCTTCTTGTGAATTCGTAGCTTGAGAATCACCAAGGATCTCAGGGAATATGTTTGCAGGTGTTTGGGATTCCCTCTGCAGTTCCCTCCTTGCCAATCACCTGCCTGCCAAGTTCAGCCCTCTTAGCAGCATTGAACACTGATGGTTCTCCTACCTGGTGATCTGCCCTTTCCTCTTTGGGCACTGTTCTCCTGCACCTGGAAGCTGGAGTCAATATGGGGCTTATTTCTTGTGCTTGCTTTCTCTCAAGAATTGTAGCCCTCTGTTGGGTGTTGACCAAGTCCTGAAAACAGCTGTTTTACATATTTAATCCAGCTTTCATAATCATTTATGGAAAAAGAGTAGATCAGACACTGGCTATGCCCTCATGACTGAAACTGAATGTTCCTCCTCTCACTCCTCCTGTCTACTCTTTAAGATCCAAATAAAATGGCCTTTGTCCACTTTTTCTTTCTTATCTCTGAATGCACAATCAATCCTTCAATACCCTGGGTCCTCTAGTACTTCCTTTGTAAACGCTATGCCCGTGGTATTATAACTGTATCACATTGCATATAGTTAGGTAACTTTTCTTCTAGATTGTGAGCTCCCTGAGAGTTATGGTGGAGTTGAAATTATCTTTCAATTTCCATCCCTTACCACAGTTCCTGGCACACAGTACCCGGCCTATGAATGTAAGCTGTGCTGTGGGGAGCTGAAATGAAAGGAGTCAGGGGGCAGATGTCCTGAACAGTGAGAAGGAACCAATAAGCAAGGATAACTGCAGCTCCATAGCTGTTGCCTCTTTAATGGAACTTCAGGAGACTTGAACATATTTCTGGAAAGAGCAATAGCTTCATGTGCTACAAATTTGCATAAGTTTATCTATTAAAACTACCTGGACCCTTCTCTGTGCTGCCCTGTAGAAAAGATACTTCTGGAATATACCAGTTTTTCAACCCAAAAGGTTCTGGACTATACTAATTTTTCAAGTCAAAAGGGTTATGACTAAAGGATCATTAAAAACTGTTGACTGGGTGCGGTGGCTCATGCCTGTAATCCTAGCACTTTGGAAGGCGGAGGCAGGCGGATCACCTGAGGTCAGGAGTTCAAGATCAGCCAGGCCAACATGGCAAAACCCCATCTCTACTAAAAATGCAAAAATTAGCCAGGCATGGTATCGCACACCTGTAATCCCAGCTACTTGGGAGGCTAAGGCAGGAGAATCGCTTGAACTTGGGAGGCGGAGGTTGCAGTGAGCCGAGATTGCACCACTGCACTCCAGCCTGGGAGACAGAGCTACACCCTGTCTCAAACAACAATAACAACAGCAGCAACAATAACAACAAAAACTGTTAGATGAGATGAGACAGTAAACTGAACATATTTTTTAAAAATTTAATTTAATTCAATTTAAATTCCGGGATACCTGTGCAGGACGTGCAGGTTTGTTACATAGGTAAATGTGTGCCATGGTGGTTTGCTGCACCTACCAACCCATCACCTAGGTATTAAGCCCAGCATGCATTAGCTATTTATCCTGATGTTCTCCTGCAACCTGACCCCCTGACAGGCCCCAGTGTGTGTTGTTCTCCTCCCTGTGTCCATGTGTTCTCATTGTCCAGCCCCCACGTATAAGTGAGAACATGTGGTGTTTGGTTTTCTGTTCCTGCAGTAGTTTGCTGAGGAGAATGGCTTCCAGCTCCATCCATGTCCCTGTAAAGGACATGATCGCATTCCTTTTTATGGCTGCATAGTATTCCATGGTGTGTATGTACCACATTTTCTTTATCCAGTCTATCATTGATGGGCGTTTGGGTTTATTCCATGTCTTTGCTATTGTGAATAGTGCTGTAATGAACATACACATGAATGTATCTTTATAATAGAATGATTTATATTCCTTTGGGTATATAACCAGTAATGGGATGACTGGGTCAAATGGTATTTCTGTTCTAGGTCTTTCATGAATGTCCACACTCTCTTCCACAATGGTTGAACTAATTTACATTCCCACCAACAGTGTAAAAGTGTTACTGTTTCTCCACAATTTTGCCAGCATCTGTTGTTTCTTGACTTTTTAATAATCGCCATTCTGACTGGCGTGAGATGGTATCTCATTGTGGTTTTGATGTGCATTTCTCTAATGATCAGTGATGCTGAGCTTTTCCCTCATGTGTTTGTGGGCCGCATAAATGTGTTCTTTTGAGAAGTGTCTGTTCATATCCTTTGCCCACTTTTTTAATGGGATTGGTAAGCTAAATATCTTAAGAAGACACGGATGCATGGAGAAGGAGCAGTTCAGCATAGCCAGACCCAGCTACGGGTGAAGGAGTCCCCAAAGACTTGGGGCATTGCTATGGGTTGAATCGTGTCCCCCAACATATACACAAAGTCCTAACTAATCGCCAGTGTCTTAGAATGCCACCTCATTTAGAAATAGGGTGACTGCATTAAGATCAGATCATCTTAGAGTAAGACGAGCCCTTAATCCAATATGACTGGTATCCTTATAAGAAGAGGAGGTCGACTCATGGAGTTTCATGTGATGATAGACGCAAAATTGGAGTGACGCATCTACAAGCCGAGAAACACCATGGATTGCCGGCAGCACCAGGAGCTGGAAGAGGCAAAAACAGATGCTCCCTTACATGCTTCACAGAGAGCAAGGCCCTGCCAAGACCTTGATTTCATACTTCTAGCCTTCAGGACTTTGAGACAAAAAAAAATCCTGTTGTTTTCAGCCACTCAGTATGTGGTCATTTCTCATGTCAGCCCTGGCATACTAATGCAGGTATGAAGAGGCATATGGCAGAAGAGCGTTTGTCATGGTACAAAGAGCGCTGGGCTGGTTTCAGAAGAAATAATATCTTGTGCTTCTCACTGGAGAGATCTTTCTGACGTTATAGAAAGACTAACACTGTTAGTACTGGCTGTTTAAAACATGGGGGAGCAGGTATTGGGGGATTGAGAGCTGGGTAAAGACAAGCCAGTTGGGTGGTATAATGACAGATTCCCATGAGATAGCAGCCTGGGATTTATTAGAGCTAGTTACACAAGCCTAGCCCTTGAGAAGCAGGTGATTGTCAGAAAAGTCCATTTCTGAGTCTATTTATCTGTATCTCTGTCAAATCTAAAATTGCCACCTGCTCAGCAATACTTTATAATAGCCATGAGAACTTGGGTGAATCACAGCCAGCTGAGGCCCCTGCCTTCATCTGTAAAATAAGAGATTTTGATCAAGTATTTTTTTTTCTGGGTAAACCACAAGACATTTGTGGATTCCTTTGCATTTTATTTTTGTTCTTTGTTCAGTAGGAAGTTGTTCCCTCCTATCGATACTTAATCACTTCTGCTACCCTGGAGTGATGCTACCAGGTCCCTTTCTAGTCTTGCTATCATTGTTTGCTGAAGTTACACTGTTTAGTATAATTTACTGACCCAAAAAAGCTTGCTCTCAGTATCATTATTCACCTCTTTAATATTAACGATGACGGTAGGACATCCTGTACAAAGACTTCTGCTGAGCCTATGAGAAATGTGTTTAAAGAAAACAAAACGAAACAAAAAACCCTTGGATCGAAAGAGCCCTTGGAGTAGGCGCCTTTTCTAGTCCTGGGTGTGAATCCTGAAGACACGTAACTGTAAAATGTGGGGGCTGGGAATAAGACTTTGAATATCTTTTCCAGAACCAGGAATGTCTGCTTCTAGGTTCTATAACTCCATGCTTGTTTACAGGATTACTTGACTTTCTTGCATTTGGCTAATACTGCATTCCTTTGCCCTTTGAATAAAGTTTAATTTGACACCAAGAAACTTTGTTACAAAACAGTACGAATGCCCTGCTGCTGTATTATGTACAATTTCATTGCAGTTGCATTAAGTGACAGTAAAATTCAAAGAATTCTTAACAAGCTGGTGAAGCATAACCCGTTCTTCATGAAATCACACTAGTTATTGAAATGAAGCTTCTAGAATTCATTTTTTCTCCAAAGACTGATCAATAAATGGTACCAGACTTCATGCCAGACCAAAATGCAGGCTATCAAGGTTCAAGTTAAGCTTCCTAAAAATCAGTTGCATGCATTTGGACAAGTCATTTGTATTTTCTCATCTATAAAAATAGGAACTTGAAAAAATTCATCTAAATTTTCTCCTAGCTCTGACTCTTTGTCATATCTGTTCTCTGTGCTTGCCTCACCCAGATGGCGGGGCAGGAAATGATGCCACATAGATACAATGGGCAATAACCACTACCGAAAAATGGTCCATGATGATTACTTTCCAAAAACTGAAACAAAATAAACCTGCAAGATATAAATGTGTTTGATCTGGGATCATGAATTCTAATGCTGGAAAAAGTGTTGAAACCCACATGGGCCAGCCTGCGGGCCTGGGAAAGCACTGCTGGGCTGTGTAATTGGGTTGTGTAATTGAGAGGCTCCACACAGCTGCTGTGAGACGGCAGACCTGGGGGTACTGCAGCCACTGGAGGAACCCAGGAGATGACAGGAGATACGCAAGAGAGAGTGAAGGACCATACGTGCAGATGGTAAGTGGTGGGACAATAATTAAGTGGATTTGGGAGGGCTGGCCTGGTGGGTGTGGCAGAAGGAGTAGGCAAACAAGTCATAAGAAGATGAAGGTCAAAGGCAGGGTAGCAGAGACCACAAGGAAAGTCAGCAAGGCCATTGCACAGTCAACACAGACTTATGCGGCACCATAGTGAGACTGACATCTCTAAACAGGAAGCCAGTTTGTGGTTGGTGCCAGCAGATGTCAGCGTGAGACACTACTTGATCCACTGGATATGGACATGAATAAGCAGTTGAGACGCATTGAGGTTGCCTATGTTATAGCAGCAGTTTCTAATCCTGTCTTCATGATAGAGAAGTGTTACCAGTTTGGGAACATTACTTAATCTCTTTAAAACTGTTTACTTCATGGTAAAAATGGGGACAGAAACAGTTGTGAGAGTTAAATCAGACAGTCAATCTTGGGCATCACCATTTGTTTACTACAGGGAGACATTGTGCTCAGCAATTCACAGCAAGGTTAGATGAAGAAAGAAGAACATTTTTTCACATCTCAACACGATGCGTTTACTCCCACATCCTAGCAAATAGATTTCCTCTGCCTACCTCACTTCTGCCCTTCTTGTTGGCTGTTTCTTCCTTCTCCCAGAATTGCTGATTTAATAAGAGAGAGCTTTTAGGCCATAATAGTAAAAATTGCAGCTCTGCCCTTGACCAGACGTGTAACCTTGGAGAACTCACTTAATATCCTAAACCTCAATTTCCTCATCAGGAAATCAAAGATTGAAACACATTCTCTGAAATATTACTGGGCAGACAAAAAATAATGAATGTCTGGCAGACATTTGGCCATTCATAAATTGCAAATAATGCTTTCAATGGCAGGTGAAATGGAATTTTGGTGGTTAATATTTACCAAAGGACATCGGTGTTGTCTTTTTACTTTGTCTCAACAACATAAAAGTTTATAATCAGAAGGGGAACAATTTACCTAGTCAATGCTCACAGCCTGTGCAACATCTAAAAACTGCAAAGGAATTAAGCACTGTATTTCTTGATAGTTATATTTGAGGTGGAGGTTGGAGAAGAGAAGATATATGTGGCTTGAATGGTACCCAGTATTTGTAGTTCAGAAAATGCCACTGTATCATGAAGGGCACTCTTCATGTACCATTGAGACAGCCTAAAAATTCCTCAGACCAAATGGGACAACTCCTAGATGTCAAGATCCAGAGAAATTAGGAAAGCCTTTATGAGGAGCTGGAGAGATAAACCCCACAATCTTGTTGTCATGGTTACATCTTTGGAGACAAGCACTGGTTCCCTTCCTCCAAGGGCCAAATGCTGACAGAAGGCAAGAGAGCCAAAGCTGACGCCAAGGAGAGAGTGTGTGGGCCTGTCTAGGTGGTACCCAGGGAGGGAGAGCTTTGAGTTGAAGCTGTGAAGAAAGGAAATGTTTTCTCTATTAGGAAAAGTGAGAAATGGGAAGGCTGCCATAGAATATATGAATATATGCACATCTCAGACACCTATTGAGAGAAAGGTGGACAAGAGAGGACAAATTGAAATGTCACTGTTGAAGCCTTGGGTCTTCATTTAGAATTACCTGTGGAAACCGGAATGGCATTCACAGCCTGTTGTGCAGAAGGGACCATCAAGCTCACGGCCTGATGAGAACATACCCCGTGATGTACTGGCCGGTCTCGGGAAACCATCATGACCTCTCAACAGACCTCTGGTGGAACACTAACAGCAATTTTTGCTTCTATATCTGCAAAAGATAGGATTATAGGTGGGACAGGATGCCAAAGGACATTTATTTTCAGGTAAATCGATCTATTCTTTTTCCCCCGTCCTAAACTACAAAATTAAGACTCAAAGAAAGAGGGTTGTTTTTTTTTTTTTTTTTTTGTACCAAGAGGTGACTTGAAGAGCCAAAAGGAAGTATCCATTTTTTTTTTCGAAAAAAATTAAAGGGTAATATGTGAAGGACTAAGATCCCTTTTGGTTGTTCTATCCTGCTGTTGCTTTATATGCTAGAGTCTTGCTAATGTCAGTTTGAAAGACAGCAAGTAAAATATTGATAGGAGGTGGTCCTCCAGCTTGCAAGCTGTTTATGAGAGCAGCATTTTGAGCTTCCGCATGGTTGGCAGAATTCTGAATAACTACAGTGGTTCACCAGTCAGAGTGGTACTTATGGTGGTCAGGTGAGAGATGGAGGATTAGCTGAAATTCAACCTGCAGTGGGCCCAGATAATCCACACACACACGTATGGTTATTTCCCCAGTTCCTGAACATGTAACTGGGACAGACATATCTGGCAACTGTCAGAGTCTCCACATTAGTTCTCTAGCCAAAAGGGTGAGGCCCATTATAGGAAACACTAAGTAGAAGACACTGGAATTTTCTTTCCCTACCAAGCTAGTACACCAGAAGCAATTCCTGCAGGGGGGATTGCTGGGTTGAGTGTTACCATCAAAGATGCAGTGTGGTGATCCCTATCACACCTCCATTTAACTCACCTGTTCAGCCTGTACAGCAGTTGGATGAATCATGGGGAGTTTCTGCAGATTATCATAAACACAATTAGGTGGTGATTCCAATTCCAGGTGCTGTTTCAGAGGTAGCATCTTTCCTGAAGGAAGTCAACACAGTGCCTGGCATTCAGAATGCAGAATGTTTTCTTTCCTTCATATTATTTTAGAAGGACAAACCAGAAGCAGTTTGCTTTCATCTGTCAGGGCCAATAATACAACTTCACAATCTTGCTTAGGGCAGTACCAATTATCCTGCTTTCTGGTGACATGCAGTTTCTAAAATCTTAATTGACTTTACATTTCACGAAACATCACACTAGTCCACAAATTAGCCAGCTCAGATCTGATGAGCAGCGTGTACTTCCATATGACATATTTGACCTGGAGCACGGGTGATACGTCCCATATCAAACCAGGGGCCTGCCACCTCGGTGATGTTTCTGAGGTCTCAATGACCTCTAAGTAGAAAGACCAGTTGCTGCTCCTCCTTGCACCTATCACCAGAGAAGAACAAAAACATGGCTCTTTGCAGACCTCTTTTATTTTAAAGGCAGTATTTTTCACAGTTGAGTGTGTTACTTAGGCCTATTTGCACAGTCTCCTATAAATCTGCTAGTTTTGCCTGGTGAGGAGAGTGAGTGAAGTCTCTGTCATATGCCCAGGCTGCAGTGTGAGCTGCTCCCTCACATGGGCTCATGATCTGGTGTTTCCCTGAGGTGTCTGTGGAACATAGGGATGTTGTATGGTGTTACTGGCAAGCACCAATAGGAGAGTCACAGGGAGAACCTCCAGGGTTAGGATGAAATCTGTTCCCACTTCTGGAAATATATATCCTTCTTAAGACAGACATTCTCAGGGCCATGGATAGAGACTGAATGCCTAACTGTGGGACATTAAGCCTAAATTTCCCATCACCAATTGGTGCTATGTGACCCATAAGCCAAGGTTGGGTATGCACAGCAGTAATCCCTTATCAAGGGGGAATGGTGAATAAGAGCTGACTTGGACAGACCCAGCATAGATAAATACATTACCTGAGCAAGAGTTTTAGATTCCTCTAGCACCAGCTCCTTCAGCATTGCTGACTTCCCTTCAGTCATGGCCAAGCCCTCCTGTGGCATCCTTTATCGCCTATTGATCTAGGGCAAAAAACCCAGCCTAGCTTACAGACAGGCCTGCATTACGTGCTGATGTCACCTGAACCTAGACAGCTGCCCCATTACAGGGCCCTCAGGGGCAAACCTGAATGACAATGGTGAGGAAAACAATCCCCCCAAGGGGAAGAACTTCATGTGTCAGATTGTCCACTTTTATCTTTGCCATGACAGAGGGCCAGAAGTAGAGATCTACACAGATGCATGGGTGACTGATGCTGGTTTGACTTGACAGTCAGGGATTTGGAAGAGATGGGACTTGGAAGGTTAGTGAAAAGGAAGGCTGGGAGAGAGGAATATAGAATAAGCTTTAAGAACAGGCACAGGCCATGAAGATGCTGGCGAGGCATGTGAATGTTCACTCACAGGCATGGACCGCAGAGGGGGAGGCTCTTCATAATCAGGTATACAAAATGAGACACTCTGTAAACATCAGTCAGCCTCTCTCTCCAGCAACCCCACTTCTTGCCCAATGGACCCATTGATAAAATATTTACAGTAGCAGGGATGGAGCCTATGCAAAGCTCAACAACATAGTCTTCCCCTTATGAAGGCTGACCTGTCTACTCTTGTCAACGGCAGAGACCAACACTGCACCTCTTACAGGCCAACTTTCCCCAGGAGGACCATTGAGTCAGTCACCTGGTGAAAGATCGATTACATGGAACCTCTTCCACCACAGAGGGGATGGATACTTGTACTCACTGCACTAGACATATACTGTGATATAGGTCGGCCTCTCCTTCCTGGAATGCTTTGCCAGGACCATCAACTTTGGGCTCCCGTAAGTGCTCACCACTGTGATGCTATTTTGCACAGCACTGCTTCTGCTCCAGGAACCCATTTCACAGCAGAAGTATAATAATGGGCTTAGCTCATGGCATTAACTTGTCTTGCCACCTAGTCTATCCTCCAGAAGCAGCTGGCCTAGCTGACAGGTGGAATGGCTTGCTGAAGACTCAGTTAAGGATGCGGAAGACAACATCCTAAAAAGATGGGCTTCTGTCTTCCAGAATTCAGCGTAACTTTTGAATGAGACTCTTACATAATTCTCTCCTCCCAAAAGACAGAATGCATGGACTGGAAACCAAGGTGTGAAATTGGGAGCACATTTTCTTACTTTACTTATTATACCCAATAAGACACTTACAGCATTTTGCTGCTGTCAGTGAAAATTCTGAACTCAAAATTAATTTTGGGATCATGTATGGATCCCAAATTGATATTGAAAACTGCAACTTTAACATCTGATTATAAGTTAGAATTTTGCTATAGGTTAAAATTACCTCCTATTTCATTTTATAGAAAATATCGTGAAAAGCCATATATACTTACTAGTATCACCTGCTTATGCAAACACTCTAATGTATCTTTTAAGAAATGGTACGTTTATTTATTGTGAATTTCTTTTCTCAATCTTATACTTTGTTCCTGATGCTCTGATTTCTTCTTTACTTTCTCAGACACAGTAATGATTTTATATTTCACTTCCAGACCTCCAAGAACAAATATGATGACCTACATTCACCACTACTTAGGATAACAATAATTAAATCTTAGATTTAGAAAGATCTGTAAAGTATGTCTAGTTTCACCTACAAAACTCAGAATTGCTGCAGAATTATCCATGGGGGTAAGTCTCCAGCTTCTGCTTAAATAATCCCAGTGCTGGGAAGCTTGCTAATGAGAGACAGCTAACAATGCTGGAGTGTTCTTTCTCATGGAGAGCTGGGTCCGGCTCTCTGTAATTCTTACCCATTTGCCCTCATTCTTTCCTCCAGGGTGGGAGTGGGCAAACTATCCAAGGGCCAGATCTGTCTCTTTTTCTGTTTTTTGTTTGTTTTTTTGTTTTGTTTTAAGCTTCCTAACATTTTAATAACTAATGTGCTCCTCAGCTCACTTTCTAACTAGTCTAACCGAAACCCAACAGTCTTACTGTTGGATAAGTGAAGTGAGTACAGGAGTGCAAGGAAAGGAAGTAATCATTGTCACAGAATACATGAAGGAAGGCTGGTATTTTTCGAGTCCGAATGATGGCTCTTTGATGCTCTGATGGAGAACAAGGTCAAGGGTTTCTGTCTTAGCAGCCTCTAAGGCGAGCGCTGTGGTGAAGGGATGCTTGAACTTTGAAGCCAAGTCCAGAGAAGAGCTCTTCCCCAGGCACTGCTGGGGACATGAGTGGGAAAATTGAGCTTAGTCAATCCTTGGGATTATCTGCTAGATTCAACTTCCTTAATTCTTTGCAAAGTCACCTGAATGTATATATACTCTTTATCTGTTTTTTTATAAACACAGTTTTATTGGCACACACCCAAGCACATTCATTTTGAAATCGTCTATGGCTGCTCTTGTACTACAATACTAGAATTGAGTATTTGCTACAGAGACTGTTATAGCCTGCAAAGCTGAAATATTTACTATCCGACCCTTTAGAGAAAATGATTGCCGGTCCCTGATATCTAGACTAGAATGTATACACCCTAATGGGCTCTTAAGCCATCCATTGGGGTGCTAGATAAAAATATCAGAAGTTATGTATAGGTTTATCTCATCCTTTCAAAACCTCTGTTTTTGTATGTAGTAAAATATATATATTTTATATATAAAACATATGTATAATATACTTATTGCCCAATGGGCCCATTGATAAAATGTTTACAGTAGCAGGGATGAAGCCTATGCAAAGCTCAACAATATAGTCTTCCCCTTATGAAGGCTGACTTGTCTACTCTTGTCAACGGCAGAGACCAACACTGCACCTATTACATGCCAAGTTTCCCCAGGAGGACCATTGAGTCATTCACCTGGTGAAAGATTGATTACATGAAACCTTTTCCACCACAGAGGGGATGGATATATATAATATAGAATTTTATATATAAAATATAGAATTTATATATAATATCTTAAAATATACATATATTTTATATATATATAAAATATACACATATATCTCACTTGGAGAAGTGGCATATAACAAATGCTACAGAATGTTAGCAATGATTGAAACTATATTAGCATATATCATCTATGTTATATATTAATTATGATTATATAGATTATATTACATTTAATGATTATAATATCATATATAATTATATATAGTTAATTATAATATATCAATTTTATATATTAATACAGCTACAATAACTGCTAACATTCTATAGAACCCATTATATGCCAGGCACTGCTCAAAGTGATTTATATGTATTAAGTAGTTTAATTCTCATAACAACTATTAGTGTACTAATAGTTATCATTCTCATTTTATAGATGAGGAAACTAAAGCATGATTAGGTTAGTGAACCACCAAGGCCTACAACAAATAAGTGGCTGAACTGGGATTCAAGCCCAGAGAGTATTCGTCAGAATTTATGTCACCAGCTGTTTCACATACAGGAACATACGTATACATTTTTTTCAACACATGTGCAAACATGAATGAAGGCTATACGCTCAAGCATTTCTTACTGTGGGAGCACACTATTAATGATGTTTGTAGACTACTGCTCTAGATGAAAAGCAAAGTCATTCTTTTTTTATCTGACATAGACTTGCAACCAGCTATTAGGTCCTACTAACTCATATGAATCACCTGGCAATTGCAGAACCCCAGCGGCATTTGTTAGTTTCTTGTCATTTAACTTAATCATACTTAAACTAGGCAAATTGAGTGATTATTTGTGAGAGCTTACTAATTCTCAGATTGCCCTTGCTGGAACCAAAGTCTTTTCCTGTGACCTTCTTAAAGTTATTTTGAAACCTAAATTATGCCTTTGCGTCAAACATGCCTGCATCCCTTTGCAATTTGGCTTCCATTTTCTCAATTCTAATGAAAGGGGAGAGAAATCCGAATGCAGTGGAAATATCTGAAAAGCTCCCTTCAGTTTGCTGAGTGGGTGGGTGAGAGGGGGAATGGGATTCCTGAGTCAGGTTTTGAAAGAATATCCATGGTGCCTTTGTACTCTCCCCTGGATCCTCTGGCGTCCCAGGCTCTTTTCCAAAGCTGTTGCTGTGTGAACAGGGGGTCTGGGGTATGATTCAGGAGTGAATAAAGATTGTATTCAGAACTAGCTCTGGCCAAGGCCTAAAATGCATACCAACAGTCACATAATGAAATAGTCTTTTGTGGTCTCTTTTGAAGTGTTATTTCCCCAGATAATACATGCACTTGAATTTCACATCATTCATGGCAATTCTTACGTGAATCATTTAAACAGCTTGCAGCAGCCATCTAACAGAGAACTTCTGATCAGGGACAAGAGGAGGGCTTTTCCTTCCCCTTCCAGGAAGATGCATTTAATCTCTTCATTTAGCTCGCTTTCAGGTCTCTCTAATGAGGAGATATCTCCCTGGTGAAACATGTTTGAAGTACATGATTGAGACAGAATATTCACTTCGGTATTGAATTATGTCTCAGTCCCCTCCATCGGTGAAAAACAAATAACCACGATCCCTACCTCAGCCAGGCTTCTGTGGGTTAGAGGATGGTAAATACGCAGTCCGCAGCCCCGTGCCTGGCGTGGGGTAAATGCTGTGTGATAAACTAGTCCTTGTCATTGTTGCATCCCCAGTATTCTAATTATGGATGACCATGTGGATTCTCCTTGCTATCCAAGTTTTAGTTTGCTGAAATTCCCAGTTTGGGCATCTAGCCAGTGGTGTTCTGTGTGTTTCTCAGAGGTTTAATGTGACATTAGGAAGAGAAGGTGTCTGGAAACCGAATCCTACCAAGGAGGCACAGCTGTGGGTGACGTTCTGCATGAGGCTTCTGGACATTAGGGAAGAACACGGAAACTCACGGAGCCTGAGAAGCCCAGGGAGCCCGAGAGGAACAGTGGCAGAGGGGACACGCCAAGCATCTCCCAAAAGTCTCTCTGATGTTGAAGCAGGATAGGTATCAGGGAAGTGACCGTGTTTTCGGGACATAGCAATCGTGGTGACCCTACAATTAACACAGTAAGCCTCAGCATTCGCATTGTAATTGAGCTCATTCAAGGGAAGCTATCTTCAGTAAGGACTGCCCCCTCTGGAGAGCAGGTGCACTTTGATTTTATCTGTCCTCAAATAGACCCTTTGATCATTATAATAGCAAAAAACACACCCCCGTTTGGAGATTTAAGACGCTAATGAGGCCAGGCGCAGTGTCACACCTGTAATCCCAGCACTTTGGGTGGGTGGATCACCTGAGGTCAGGAGTTCGAGACCAGCCCGGCCAACATGGTGAAACCTAGTCTCTACCAAAAATACAAAATTAGCTGGACGTGGTGGTGCATGCCTGTAATCTCAGCTACTTCGGAGGCTGAGGCAGGAGAATTGCTTGAATCTGGGAGGCAGAGGTTGCAGAGAGCCAGATCGTGCCATTACAGTCTAGCATGGGCAATTAGAGCAAAACTCCATCTCAAAAAAAAAAAAAAAAAGATGCTGATGAGACATGTGACATATGAAAAAGTGTGTACAGCTACTGTGTATGTGCACCCAGAAGACCACTCAGAACATGCTTCCTGGCAATGCCCTTTCCCACCCACTTAGGAAGAATGAGGTAAGACTTCTGTAAAGGGAGTCTCCCTAGAGCCAGCCTCTGCTGTCTCATCCTCACAGGCAGCCAGCCCTGAATCCTCATTCAAGACATCCTGTCTCTTCTGCATCTAACTTTCAGAATATTCTTTTTCTTTTGAACTAAATTACTCTATGCTACACCTCCTTTGCTGTGTGTCTCTTGTTTAAATTCTTTTAAACCAAGAAGATAAGAATCGAGGTATCACATCAGCTGTCAACAATGTCATTCAAAGGTCTCTTCACAAATGAGAAGAAATTTCTTACATAAGTTTTTAAAAACAAGAAAGTTGATTGTGTCTTTTTTTATTATTATTGTTGTCCTTAGTGCTATAGTCAAAGATAGAAAACCAGGGGCCGAGCCTCACGGGGCTGGCCCATGTCCACTATGGACTTTAGAGTCTTCTGTGACATTCATTAATGTATCGAAACCTTCTTGAACTCTTATGACCCATGGAGATTGAAAAAAATGTCATCAAACCACAGGCAGTCACTGGGGTCTAATTTTGGAAACCGACTAAGGCTGTCCCTGCAGTTTAAAATGCAAGACACGTTACATCCTTTTCCATTCCTTTTTGTTTCTTTCCTCCTCCTCTCCAGTTTGATTCTGTCTTCACTTTTTTTTTAACCACAAAATCCAAACCACTGTATTCGTACCTTGGCCAAGACATAATGAAAATGGTTTCCATTTCTTTCCCAAAGGTAAGACTTGAAAAGCATCAGCATGTAGGGCCAGTTGCGGTGGCTCACGCCTGTAATCCCAGCACTTCGGGAGGCTGAGGCAGGCGGATCACGAGGTCAGGAGATCAAGACCATCCTGGCTAACACGGTGAAACTCCGTCTCTACTAAAAATACAAAAAAATTAGCTGGGGCATGGTGGCGGGCACCTGTAGTCCCAGCTACTTGGGAGGCTGAGGCAGGAGAATGGTGTGAACCCAGGAGGCGGAGCTTGCAGTGAGCCGAGATCACGCTGCTGCACTCTAGCCTGGGTGACAGAACGAGACTCCGTCTCAAAAAAAAAAAAAAAAAAAAAAAATCACCATGTAGAAACTTCGTTTCCAGATAGGCTGTCTCTGTTTCCTGACAGAGGTTAAATGAAGGAGTCAGGACCAGCTAGGAAGTCCAGAACTGGGAGCCAGTTTTCCATGGAGAAACCCCCCAACCTAGGGCCCCCCTACCTTGAGAACCCTTCCCAGAAAAGCATCTCAAAGAAGTCCATCTCATCATCCAGGTGGAGCAGCGTTCGATTTCAGAGTCACCTGGCAGCAGCCTACATCTTCTGGTGCCTCCAAAGTATTTATATTGTGATTTATTTGCAAAGGTGTTAGAAACAGATTATTATACAAAATATGCTAGGTGTGTGTGCCTGTGTGTGTGTCTCTGTGTAACTGTGTTTGTGTCTCTGTGTGTAACTGTGTGTTTGTCTGTGTGTGTTTTTCTGTGTGTCCTCCCGAACCATATTTTAAATTTTCTTTTTCAGCGGCGTTTTTGAGGTACAATTGGTATGCAAATAACTGCACATATTTAATGCGTAAAACTTGATGGGTTTGGACATATGCAAACACCTGTGATACCATCACCAAGCAGGTACCAGGCTTGCTTTCAGCCAGTTTCAGAGCCAATATCTTAGTTGTCCTTGAGAAAAATCTGCTTTCTACAATGTGGCCTAATTTTCTTACCTAAATCATATGACCATCCTACTGCTATGGCTTAGAGATGGGCTAATTCTCTAGAGAATATAGCTGAGCACTAAACACAGGACACAGATTTATTATAAGACTTGAAATGCTATGATGTGGCCCTGACTTTGTGAAAAAACAAAACGGCTTATGTTGTTAAAAACCTTGAATTTTTAAAGTATGTTTTCCTGATTTAATAACTCAACAAATGCCCTCCACGTTTTATAGACATGGAGTTGGGTGGAGACTGATGGCTGCCGTTTAGGACATTTGTGACTATGGCACAAACATGGAACAAGAACGTGTAGAAGGGGATCTGGCAGCTGCAGGGCATGTGGGGAAGGGGCTGCATCCTCTCCCCACCCGTATTAGTCGGTTTTCACGCCACTAATAAAGACAGACTCAAGAGTGGGTAATGATTGAAGAAAAGAGGTTCAGTTGACTCACAGTTCCACATGGCTAGGGAAACCTCAGGAGACTTACAATCATGATGGAAGGCAACTCTTCACGGGGCAGCAGGAGAGAGAATGAGTCCCGAATGAAGGGGGAACCCCCTTATAAAACCATCCAATCTCGTGAAATTCACTAACAGGAGAATGGCGTGGGAGAAACTATCCCCCATGATTCAATTATCTCCACCTGGTCCTGCCCTTGACAGGTGGGGATTATTAAATTCAAGGTGAGATTTGGGTGGGGACACAGACCTATACCATATCACCACCCCACTCCCTAAGTGGCTGTTTCTCAAGGAGCTGCTCTTTATCAAGATATAGTGGGACACTCCCTAGATATAGCAAGATGCCCTCTACTCAGGAAAGCGTGTGCCGCTCATTCGTCCACTGCTCACAAAAGCTGATCTGCAGGACATGCCACCATAATCTTCTTTCAGGTTCAGGTGGGTTACAGAAACTTTGCAAGCCATGTAGGGTGAAATACTGAGTTTATTTTGTCTTGACACAATAATATATATTGTAACAGTTTTTAAAAATTAAATTTTTGATGTACACTTAAAAACAAAATAAAACAAATAAATTTGGCTTATTTCTCCTAGAAGTCAATGACAAAAAAAGGTATGATGGACAGAACTGTGTGCCCTCAAAATTTTAATGTTGAAGTCCTAACCTCCAATACTTCAGAATGTGACTGTATTTGGAGAGAGGGTCTTCAGAGAGATTACTAAGTTAAAATATTTTAATTAGGGTTGATCCTAATCCAATAGGACTGGTGTCCTTATAAGAAGAGGAGATCAGGGCACAGACACACAGAGAAAAGGCCATGTAAGGACACAAGAAGAAGATGGCAACTTTAAGCCAAAGAGAGGGGCCTCAGGAGAGACCAACCCTGATCTTGAACTGGTGAAAAATAAATTTATCTTGTTTTAGCTACATCTGTAGTATTTCGTTACAGATGCCTTGGATAACTGATGCAAGTTATCTGAGAGTTCTGGACATTCCTGTTAATTAAGCTTTTGCTATTCTCTGCTAGTATAATGCAATTATGCCATTGTTACCAATTTGTCTCCAACTAATGCATAGGTATGCATGCAGACCTATTCATAGGTATGCATGCAGAACTATTCATAGGTATGCATGCAGAACTATTCATAGGTGTGAATGCAGACCTATTCATAGGTATGAATGCAGATAAGATTCCATCCATCATCACACATTGATATACAGATCTGAGCACCACTCAAGTTCAAAGTACTGATTCCCTTGAATTTTCTTTGTGCCTAAAGAAAGCTGGATCTTCCCTAGATATGCCAAAGGATGGCAGGTGTGATAGGAAGATAAAAGGGTGGTAAAAGGCAGATGGCAGCATCTTCTCACATTGTTGCTGCACCGTCCTCCACTAGCCTCCAATCCTAATCAGGACATGGCTCATACAGAGAAGGGTGTCCATCCCGGCTATGGGCAAGGAGAGGGATCTTGTGGGAACTGCTGTGTGCTGTGACAGCACAGCCACTGGAAATTGCCAAGAGTGCAGTTCCTGCGGGTGCTGCATTCATCGCTGAGACCTGGCTGGGTCTGCTGGGCACTGAGCAGAACCTCTGTCCAACTAAGGATAGCACACACAATCGGAATGCTGGAGTAGCTAATTCTTCTCTGGATCTGAGGGCATTAGACTTAACCTGCGCTCCACGGCTCATCCCTTCTGGCCATACTAAACAGAGAAGCCATGCTACAACCCCGGGAGAGAGTCGTCTCCTTTGGAGAAGAAGGAAAATTACAGTTAATCTCTACATTCCCACAGCCTGGCATCGTACTTGGCACGATATGGTGGGCAGTACATGTTGCCATGACTAGAGCAAACTAGCCCCAACTCTGTAGCTAAGTCCTTTTATGATCCTGGATGAGTTGCTGAAGCTGCCTTTTCTTCACTTTATAGCGCAAGTCACGCTGAGTTAAACGAGTGCTGCCTGTGTGAGTTTGGGCCCTCTGAGAAACTGCTGCTGAGACAAGATTAAGCACACAAGGATTTTCACAGTGGAAACTCCTGTGAGTGACCCTCGGGGAGCCATCAGACCTCAATGCAAGCCTGATCACAGGTGAGGGAAAGAGGAAAGAAAGGGTGGTGCAAGTTGTCCAGGACCACTGTGCAAGGCCCTCGGGGAGTCCTTGGGCTGAGTCATCATTGGGGGAACCCCGTGCCTCCCAGGAATGGTCCAGCCTTAGTAAACCTACCATAGTCAGTCACTGGGTTGGAGCAGCCTGTGGGACAGGGGTGTCCTCTGTATGATGCCACATGGAACTCAGATCAAGCAACTTAAGTCCCGGGTCAGTTACACTCCCTGCAGCTGGAGGTCTGGCAGGTGCGTTCTGATGGCCACCGCAATCCACCTCTTGCACTGAGCTGATTTACTTCTCTGTGCAGCTTTGAGAAACAGTTCCTCTGTTTCCCGTGGGCTTTTCTTCCTGAGAAACTCAGAAGGAGATGAGTGGGAGGAACCTCAGTTGCAGTGGATCTCAGGGCCACATGACATTCTTCGTTCCTGCCCCGGCCTCCTGAGTCTATGAATTATCCTCACCCTCAGATATCACCTCAGCCCATATTGTTGGCTTTCTTTGTCTGGATTTTGTAATCCAAAGTTTCATTTTGAGGGTCCCTAATACCTCATAGTTTTGTCCTTCCCAGTCCAGGATCACATCCCATGTCCATCCATTGTCACAATGGTACAAGGACATATGGGGAGGAGCCAAAGTGTCACCTGGGTTCCTCTTCTGTTTCTCTCTGTCTGCATTTTGTAAAAACAGTCCCACATACTTCTACTAGTTAGGGTCACTTATGATCACTGTGGTGACTTCCTGTCTGCTGGTCTCTGGGCACAAGGAGCCCCAAATGCCCTAGAGGCAGCCATCACTTGCAATTCAATGGGACTCTTGCTATGGCTGCTGGTAAGTCTGTGCTCCATTTGGGGACCAAGACTTACACCTTGCAGAGTCCAGAGTGGAGGGAATGGGAAGCCCCCAATCTCCAGTGGATCAGTCTTGCTGGTCATTGCAGTATTTTCTGCTTCCTGCCTTCCAGTGTTAAGCACCACCCCTGGGACACTATTACTTCAGGACCCCATCACCCCATCAATGTCAAGGAGCCCAGCCCTGTGCCTGCCACTTCTACATTCATTCCTGGCCTGCCTGCAAAGGAGAGCCACCAACAAATTTCCTGAGGAGGCTGTGCCCCTCTCATCATCACATCCCTGATGGGTTTGGGTGACACTGAGTCATCTAAGCCCTCTCTTGGAACACACTCTTCCAGTGAACCTTCTGGTTTCACATAGCCATGCATTTTGGCATGACCTCCTCCCTCAATCTCTTTGTTCCTTTCTCTGCCAACTCCACAATAGCTGTGTCATTTCTACTTCCCCAAGAGCTAGCCATCATTATCTCCAGACTTCTAAGAGCCACCCCAGCATCAATTTGCCCCATCTCTTGGGGTCCTTGTTAAGTCCTGTGTCCTGATAAAGTACCTTCAAATCAGTGAATTATTATTTATGCATATATATGTATATATATGAATATATATGCATATATATTACTTATGTCCATACATATGCATAAATAATAATTCATTGATTTGAGGGATTATATATATTCTGGTCCTTTTGCTCATCCATCATCAAATCCAATCCTAGGGGCATATGACTACTACATTTTGCAAACCTGTAAGAACAGAGTCCATTTTTCTCTTATCAGGCACAGAATGTCTCCAGCTAAGCTGTACTAGTATTTGACCTGTCTGTTGTCTTGGCAGCTTGCAGAGGACTCAGGGAACTTGCTGAGTGAGACTCCCATTGACTCAAGTGAGAGGAGTTTCTGCAGCCCTCTCAGCATAGCAGGAGGGTTGGCACTTGGTAGGGGGCTGTGGGCCACCTCTGCAAGCCCAGCAGATCCTTGAGCAGTTGCAGGGTCAACATCACCAGCATCCACCCAGATAGCCCTGCCCCAGGTTACTGGACTCCAGATTTCTCCCACCAGAGTTCTAACCTTCCATAAGCAACCTGCCCTGTCTATGCCTCACAGCTTTAGAGACTCCTACAATCTCCAGTCTGCTGTTTACTTGTGCCTGTCCTTCTCTTGGTAAATGACCACAGAGGTTCTCTGGATTTTCACTGAGCCATTAACTTCTTGTTAATAGCCTCAGTCTCTTATTATCCTTCTGCAAGTCAGTACAACTTACCAGCATCCTGCCAACTCTTCTGTCTTACAGGCACTCTTCCATCTCATCCCCGTATTTTTCAAATGCCTGCATCCCTGCACCTGCCACAGCATTTCTCTCCACCAGGATATTTTCCCGGTTCACCATCAATTACATGTTTAGAACTTGGTCTGCAATCTTGTGCCAGGGCTATCCATGTCCCATCCACAAACCTCGATGGCACTCTTTACCTGCTGTCAGTGGGGGAAGCCCCTCCCAAGTCCTGTCTTACCTTCCTAGGCCACTCCTGGTACCACTTACGTTAGTCTGAATCCTCCAAGAGGCAGATGCACAGATGTGAATAATGTTGTAAATATTTTATTAGAGGAAACACCGATGACATAAAATAGGGAGGGAGCTAGAAGAAGCTGGGAGAGGCAACAACCTCAATGCAAGTCAGGCCCCCAGGTGAGAAGAGGAAGAAAGGAAGAGGGAACGCGTTCCAGACCACAGTGCAGTTGATGGAAGGTTTGGCCAGACCATGAGGAAATACTCACCGGAGACACCCATCAAAGCCCCATGTGTCCCAGGAATGGGCCTGCCTCTGTATCCCTGCATGTTCAGTCATTGTCCAAAAGCAACCTCCAGGAAGCATGACCTCAAAAATGGATTTCAGGTTGCAGCAGCTGGGGCCTTTGATCTTAGATGGTCTGTGAGCAAGTTCCTATGCCTATGCCTGTCCCAGCACACACCTGCCATGCTCTGAAACACTCAAAATGCATTTACATTCAAAGTTATAAAATATTAGAATGATACTTCCATGTGCTTAGATACTCAGACATTAGCAATGTAATTGTTTTAAAAAAGGCATTTTCTCATTCATGTTTTCCTAATCAATAAAATATTTAAATTAAGTTATTAAAGCCTGCATTTTTCATTTCCAGCTCAATATGCTATTTTCATTTTGAAGGAGAAAAGCAGCTTGTACACATTCTTAATTGGCTAATTTGGCCCTTTTGCTAAAAAACATCGCTAGCCAATTATCTAAATTTATAATTTTCCTAAGATTGAATAACTCCATATCTCCAAATAACGAGGTTGTTCCATTTGTTAGAGACATGTGCCTAAGTATATTGCTTCAGGAATTGTCATTTTACTGTCCTGCATCATCTATTTATTTAATATGTTAGATCATTTCCACCAGCATATAAGCATGCTCTAAAGTCTCCTATGCTAAGGGAAAAAGTCCTTCTGACACCCACACTACCTTCTAGCTACTGTCCCATTTCTGTGGTCTCCTTTAAGAGGGGAACCCTGAAACATCTGTCTCCTGCTCTTGGTTCCCACTCCTTTCCCTTTCATTTTCCCTTTAATTTGCCCCAACCTGTCCACCACACACCTGACACTGCTCTTGCCAGAGACATCATGCCTTCTATTGTCAGACTCAGGGGTTAATCTAGTCCTCATTTTAACCAACATCTGCATATCACAAAGCATCATGTGATCACTGTCTCTTTCTTGAAACCCTTCGTTTGAAGCTGAGATTACTATCTTTTTATTTGTATAAATGTAAGGGGCATAAGTGTAATTTTGTTACATGAATATATGGAATAATGGTGAAGCCTGAGCTTTTAGTATAGTCATCACCCAAGTAATGAACACTGTACCCATTAAGTAATATTTCGTCATCCATCTCCCTCTCACCCGGCTCCTTCCGAGCCTCCAGTGTCTGTCATTCCACACGCTGTGTCCCTGTGTACACGTTACTTCGCCTTTTCTTTTCTTTCTCCTTCTGTAGCTGCTGCTTCTGGTTCTCTCCAATCCTGATCTGCCCCTGTCATTTGTGACTTGTTTACCCAACTGAGCTCTCAGCATCACCAGCATCTCTACTTGGCAATCTAGTGGGCGTCTCTAATTTATGTATAAACCTCAACAGCTGATCCCCCCTCCCCTCCCAAAACAGAACAACTCATTCCTTATTTCACGTTCCTCTTGGTAAATGACAACTCTATCCTTCTAGCTGTTCAGGGCAAACACGCTAGAGTCATTTTTTACTCCTCCCTTTCTCTTACAGCCTATGTCCAATGCAGCAGCAAATTCTGATTCTACATTATAAATATTATCCAAAGTCAGACAGCTTCTCCTCCATCACTGCTTCCTTCCCAGATTAAACCTTCATTCTCTCCTATTATCTCATATTGAAACCACCCTTTATATTCTCTCCTTGTTTCCTTTCTTAGTACCTCACAGCATCTTCTTTATAACACTGCGAATGAACTTGTATAAACACGAGTCAGAACCACAGGTAGCTTCCTATCTGGCTGAGAGCAAAAGCCCAAGTGTTTTTGTTTGTTTGTTTGTCTGTTTTGAGACAGAGTCTTGCTATGTCATCCAGGCTGCAGTGCAATGGCACGATCTCGGCTCACTGCAACCTCCACCTCCTGGGTTCAGACAATTCTCCTGCCTCAGCCTCCAGAGTAGCTGAGATTAAAGGTGCCTACCACCATGCCCAGCTAATATTTGTATTTTTAATAAAGACGGGGTTTCACCATGTTGGTCAGGCTGGTCTTGATCTCCTAACATCAGGTGATCCACCCGCCTCAGCCTCCCAAAGTGCTGGGATTACAGGTAGAAGCCACCACATCCTACCTGCAAGTCTTTATTATGGTTTATCAGACTATATGTATTCTGCCCACACTGTACCCTCTCTTCACTACCAACTGACTTCATTTCCTACCACTCTCCTTCTTTCTCATCGTGATTCAGCCACCCTGGCCTCCTTGCCATTTCTCAAACTGACAAATCACTTTCCTATCTGAGCCCCTCACACTTTCTTGTCCCTCTACCTACAATGCTATTCCCTGAGATGGTCTCATTGCTCATCCCCATACTTCCATTAGGTTGTTATTGAAATATCATCTTATAAATGAGACTTTCCCCAATTGCCATATCTATAATATCAAATCCACTTACACCCTGGCACTACCTAGCACTTTACCAGACTTAATTTCTCAGTACTATTTACACCACCACCTCTATGATATTTATAGAGTCTGTCTCCCCATACTGCAATGTTATGTCCACTCTGAGAGTTTTTATGTTAGGTTAATGCTGCTGTTTCCAGCACCTTGGAGAACACTTGGCAGAGAGTTGGTGCTTATTCCATAATCATTGAATTGAACTGAATAAAAGAATGAGTTAGAAAATAGTGCTTTCTATTTGCTTAATTTTAACTGAAGGAATGTGAAAACATTGCAAAAAAAATAAAAGAGATAGAGAAGCAAATGTACAAGTAAGAAAGTAAGACTGCTATCTATGTACTTAAGGGCAGAGCAACTAAATATATGGGACAAGTCACCTGACAACAAATTCTACTAGAATAAAAAAAATTCAAAAATTCTTCATCCATGACATACTTATGCAAGTATGCATCAAATGCCACCAATTCCAGTACAAAGAAGTCTTTTGCTCAGTCTCTTAAAAACTAAACTGGTTTCTTTATCTTCTTACAAGGTATGAAGCACTTAACAGAAATGATATTTTAAAAAGCAATGAATGAAGCAAACACTTAAGCTGCAGAGTATCTATTCCTAAGCAGCTAGGGTTAGCAGGTTTAGTGAATGAAAATACAAGACACTCAGTTATTACTGAATTTCATAAAAACAGCCAATTATATTTTAGTATAAGTATGGCCCATGCAAGATTTGGGACATATTTATACAAAATAAAATACATGTTGTTTATGTGAAATTTGAATTAAAATGAGTGTACTGTGTGATCTGGGAGCTATCTAAGCAGACAATGCTATCGAGTGGCATAAAGGCTAATGAGAACCCTCACCTCTGCTTACCTTCCTGCCCTTCATTCCCCCAGCTGTCACTCTCCTTGTGGACAGACCATTTGAATCTCTCTCTAACTTGCTGTAAAGAAGAACTCACAGATAATTTTCCTTTTAGTGTAGGTTCTATGCAGTCATATACACTGAAGGATGAGAATATGCCACTGACCTGGTGGGATGTGAATCTTAACAAAGGAAGTCATTCTTATCTCAGTGAGTGCATTGATGATCAAGAGATGTGGGTTCAAAACAAGTCCATCCAGAAGGCAGTTTGGTGGAAACTCTTTCAAAGCATCCCCATATTATATAACATTAGATGGCTCTTACTTCATCTAGGTCCAAAGAGAAGCAACATTGCTTTGCATTTCTCTTTACATCATGGTTCTCAAACTTTTTGGTTTTGTGAGCCCTTTATACTCTTAAAATGTACTGAGGACAACAAAGATCTTTTTCTTATGTGGATTATAGCAAATTGATATTTAACACATTAGAATTAAAATTAAGAGTATTTAAAAATATTTCTTTATTAAGTCATTTAAAATGATAATAATATCATTCTATGTTAATACAAATAAATTGCGTTATTTAAAAACTATATTTTTTGGCCAGGTGCAGTGGCTCATGCCTGTAATTCCAGCACTTTGGGAGGCCGAGGCGGAAAGATCATCTGAGATCAGGAGTTCGAGACCAGCCTGGCCAATATGGTGAAACCCTGTCTCTACTAAAAATACAAAAATTAGCCGGATGTGGTGGCCCAAGCCTGTAATCCCAGCTACTCTGGAGGCTGAGGCAGTAGAATCACTTGAATTTGGGAAACGGAGTTTGCAGTGAGCCGAGATTGAGCCACTGCACTCCAGCCTGGGCGACAGAGCAAGACTCCATCTCAAAAAATAAAAAAATTTTTAAAAAGTCACAAATCCTGCTCACTTCGATCTACTTGCTTTTTCCTCCCTCCCTGCCCAGAGCTCACCACCATTCTAAACTTGGTGTTTATTATGCCCACTCACTTAAAAAATGACTTTGGCTATCTTAACCTACATGTGGCTAGATAAGTGCGTCATTGTTTTACATGAGCTGAGATTGCCCCACTGCACTCCAGCCTGGGCCACAGAGCGAGACACCATCTCAAAGAAACAAAAACAAACAAATTATGTTTTTCAAAAGAAAATAGTGAGAGGATTGGCATTGTTTTGTATTTTTTTTCAAATATCTTTAACATCTGGCCCAAGGGAAGACACCTGGATTATCACACCTGCTTCTGCATTCAGTCTCTTGCAATACCTTATTTTGGTTGAAGAATATGAAAAAAAAAAAACTTGGCTTCACACAGATATCAAATTAGAGAAAGGATGTTATTTTAATAAGCTTTTAAGAAAACTGCAGATATTCTTCCTTGATTTTTTTTTTTTTTTTTTGAGACGGAGTCTTGCTCTGTCACCCAGGCTGGAGTGCAGTGGCGCTATCTTGGCTCACTGCAAACTCTGCCTCCCAGGTTCAAGCAATTCTCCTGCCTCAACCTCTGGAGTATCTGGGACTAACAAGTGTGCACCACCATGCCTGGCTAATTTTGTATTTTTAATAGAAACGGGTTTTCACCATGTTAGCCAGGATGGTCTCGATCTCCTGACCTCGTGATCTGTCCGCCTTGGCCTCCCAAAGTGTTGGGATTACAGGCGTGAGCCACCGCACCCGGCCCCTTCTTCCTTGATTTTCCACCAATAAGAAACAGATGGTAATTTCTTAAAGGTTAGTTGCAATGGGGAAACAAAAAATGTATTCACAAACTTTTAACTGTATACTCATGAGACAATGAGAAAAAAATAGTGACATTATAGTATTTTTATAAAAATAATGTTGACATCATGGACTCTCATAAACCAATGTCTCTAGGAACCCCAGGGGTTCCTATGCCACACTTTTGAGAATGGCTGCTTTATGCCACTACTACTAATGTCAGCTTTTAGAGGCTGAGAAGATAAGGAACGAACAGAAAGGCAGTGGCTTTCCTCTTTCAATATATAAAATAAGAACAAAGACACTGAACATGGAGACCCATATTGAAAGGTCCGTCTCCGGTTATCTCATGCCCATATTCTCTGCACACTCTCAATACTGTCCTTGTTCAGTCCCTGGAGGTCATCCTTTTCTTCTTTCTTTTTTTGAGCCATGCCGCATCCTAACAGTAAAGTTTATTTTGGTGTTTTAGATATTTTCTATTATGTAATACATTATTTCCATTTCCAAACCTCGCGTATGTAGAGGGGCCTGCAAAGAAAATTGACATCTATAATGGTGGACTCAAAATATAGATCCTCAAGTGCTTTAGCAAGAAAACATTGTATTATTTTTATTGTACTTTTGGTATTAAACACATTTTACTATATTTTATATATCACTATCTGTGTATGATTTATAATGGTGCATATATATATATATAGGAGTCTTCAGTTTCATAAAGAAACGTGTTAAGTGAAACTCACATATATCTATGCATATCACTTTGCATATGGTTCCCTGGTGACCAAAATATGAAACTATATATACACATAGAGAAAGATACACTTAACCAGAATATTTTTTATTTATTTTTTATTTTACTTTAAATTCTGGGACACATGTGCAGAATCTGCATCCTCTCCTTTATGATGGGTCTTTGCCGATGCTGCTGTCTCTTTCTAAGGCGTTCCTTTCAATACTCTCATGGTCTATGAGCACACATACCCATGCAGGTGACACCCTCATGCAAACACCTGCACAGACACAAACACACACCTTCAGGGTTCCAGCTTATTTCCTCAGGAATGTGTTTTCTGCAATTTCTGTCAAGGTTAAATCCTTTTTTATAAACATATTTTATTTGTTTATTTTTTATTTTTATTTTTATTTTTTTTTGAGGCGGAGTCTCCCTCTGTCACCCAGGCTGGAGTGTAGTGGCGCGATCTCGGCTCACTGAAAGCTCTGCCTCCTGGGTTCGCACCATTCTCCTGACTCAGCCTCCCAAGTAGCTGGGACTACAGGCGCCCGCCACCATGCCCAGCTATTTTTTTTTTTTTGTATTTTTAGTAGAGACGGGGTTTCACCATGTTAGCCAGGATGGTCTCGATCTCCTGACCTCGTGATCCGCCGGCCTCGGCCTCCCAAAGTGCTGGGATTACAGGAGTGAGCCACCGCACCAGGCCTATTTGTTTATTTTTAAATCTTCTTTTAATACATTCTCATAGAGCAAAACACGTGTGCTTTATGGGAGAATGATACCTTGGTATTGGACAACAGCCCAGTATACCACATGAAAAAGGACAGTGAATGGCCAGTACTTAGAATTGTGAAGTTTTATCATCTGATCATCTTTAGTTCTCAAATTTGCTTCACATTTTCCTTCAGTTTGACTTTACGGTCATTGTACAATCAGGCTGTAAGCTGATAGCACGGGCAGGCTTGATTTTCCTCACTTTTGTAACCATAGTTCTTAGCATAGCTTCAGCACATAGTAGACACTCAATACATATAATTAAATGAATACATAAGAAATTAATTTTAATAGCTGTAAATACTTTATGATATCAAAGAGAGGGGAAAAAAGGTGCCTTTTCGGTTTCAGTTCTCAACTCAGGCTTCACCATTTCTCCTCCACGGTCCTTTGAAGAGATTAATTAAAACAAAACAAAGTAACAATGATATCCCCCCAAAAAATACTTTGACGTGTAAATCAGATTATTATTGTTTCTCTCTTTGTATCTTCCTGGGGAAAAAAATCAAGGTTGTTTCCAGATCTTTAGAAGGGACACAGTAATTTAAATTAATTCCTTTGTTTTGATGAGAGTAAAAACATAATTTCTTTCACATGATCCTGAACTGACGCAGATTGAGAATGTGCTCGTCAAATGTAATGTGTAATAACAGGCAGTCACCCTCAGGAGCTCCGAGAGTTGTGCACGTGAGTGTTGTGCACGTGAGTGAGCCTGTGTGTGTTGAGCGTAAGGGTGGTTACCAACCTCCCCTCGCTCTCCTCCTTCCCTGAAGAGGAAGACTTTGTCTCCTGTACATAGCATTCGCTCTGTATCTTCAATATTTACTCCAAAGGGGAGACTACAGTGAAAAGGCAGCAGGCGACAGCCCACATTTGGTCTTGCCCTTCGGTCTGTCCATTGCCCTGTTCCCATCTTGGAATCCAGGCATTCGGCAAGCTTTATCAGGGGACAGGGACCACAGTGAGCATGTGGCCGCCTTGGCCTTCTCAGTCAGGTTTGATCCTTAGCTTTCACAGTCTTGAAGGTAAGGGGAGTAGCCCACTGGTTTCTGTCTTCTGAACCTTTAGCTGGGCATGAGCCCACCTGTGGAGAGAAGTTGTGTGTGGGAAGCTGCCTGTGCAAACCAAGCCCAGGGAGGGCAGGGCAAGCCCAGGGCAGAGCTTGTTCCCGGCCAAGAGAAACAGTGGAGGAGCCAGGATCCCCCACTCTCCATTCGGATGTGTTTTATGGGAGAGCGATGCCTTGGTTTGGAAGACTGACCAGCATGTAGCACGGAAAAGAACAGTAAATGCCCAGCACTTAGAATCGTGTGGTTTTATGACCTGATCCTATCCAGTTCACAGATTTGCTCCACATTCCCTTCAAATCCCAGCATGCTGTACGCTGCCATTTCTGAATTCTCATTATTGAAAGCCTGTTTATAAAAGTGTGGTACCTGGGCCTTAAGCATCAGCATCACCTGAGAACTTGTTAGAAATGCAAAACTTTGGACTTCATCCTAGAATCAGAAGCTCTGGGGGTCAAGAAATCTGTGGTAATTTTGTTTCTGTATCTATTATTTGAAGATACAGAAAAATGTAAGAATAAATTGTTACTGAATTGGGAGTTTCTGTATATTTAGATAGTAATTACTCTTTTAATGCTGCAATGAACCTTGGCATACAAGTACCTGAGTCCCAGCTTTTAATGCTGCAATGAACCTTGGCATACAAGTACCTGAGTCCCAGCTTTTAATGCTGCAATGAACCTTGGCGTACAAGTACCTGAGTCCCAGCTTTTAATGCTGCAATGAACCTTGGCGTACGAGTACCTCAGTCCCAGGTTTTAATGCTGCAAAGAACCTTGGCATACGAGTACCTGAGTCCCAGTTTTTAATGCTGCAATGAACCTTGGCGTACGAGTACCTGAGTCCCAGATTTTAATGCTGCAATGAACCTTGGTGTATGAGTACCTGAGCCTGAGTCCCAGTTTTTAATGCTGCAATGAACCTCGGCATACGAGTACCTGAGCCTGAGTCCCAGTTTTTAATGCTGCAATGAACCTTGCTGTACAAGCACCTCAGTCCCAGTTTTTAATGCTGCAATGAACCTTGCTGTACAAGTATCTGAGTCTCAGTTTTCAGTTCTTGTGGGTGTATACCTTGAAGCAGAATGGCTGGGTCTCATGATAATTTTACGTGGACCTTTTTCGGTGCCACCAAATTATTTTCTGCAATGGCTGCACCATTTTATATTCCCACTAGCAGTGGACAGGGGCTCCAATTTTCCACCTCTTTACCAACACTTATTTTCCACATTTTCTTATTAAACCCAACATGGCTACCCATTTTTGAGGAACCCTTTGGGCCGGGGTGTGACGGGATGTGTGCAGAGAGGCTAACTACAGGGAGAAGGGAGGGACAGGCCCGTCTGCTGGGCCAGGAGGACAGGTTGAAGATACACAGTGGACCTTAGAGCCTGATCCATCACGTCCAGACTGCACTCAATTCAGTGACACTCCAGCCAGGTGACACAGTGGCTGCCGCGAACACCAAGAAACAGAAACAGCAAGTGCTGATTACTAACCCATGCTTTCTCCCTCCTTTTCTTCTCCTGATTTCCTTCTATTTTAGAGAATAGTAGAAATTTTGGATTAACAAAGCATTTGAAATTTCTGTTGTCAAAAATAGTCTTAAAGAATGGGTTTCTGATCACTGTGCAGACAGCCATCCACGAGTATTTCTTAAGCAATTACTGTACTTTAAGCCCAGTGCATTGCAGAGCTGTCTCCAGTCGTTAGCTGGTGGGCAATCTGCCAGACCCTTGTCCTGTGACAAGCAGAGAAGGCAAGAGTGGGAAGAGAGCTGTAACCGGCCTCTGGGGAGGAGGAGGTGAGCTTCATACACTCAAAATTAACTCACAAAGCCTCCACTAAAGGTCCTGTCTCCACCTTGCACCAGCCCATACACCTGCCTGTAACTCCGAGTAGGATCCAGAGGGATGCAGAAACCTAGCTGAGACGGGCTCTTGCAGGATGCCTGAGAATGGGGTCTCAGCGGGGGGCCAGGTTCTGACTAAGGCCTGTGAACCTCAACTGGTCATGGAACAGTGGGAGAGGTCGGGGATAGGGAGCTGGCATTTTTTATTTAAATTCAAAAGAGTGAGATGATGAGCTGTGACAAGGGGCTCTAACCTGCCTTGTGAGGAAGGGCTCTACCTGACATGAGGAGTGTGGGTGGGAGGGGTTGTCAGGTGTGCAGCAGCCTTTGCTTTGAGTGTCCATCTCTGGATGCTGAAAACACTGTCTGAGGACAAAGGTTCTGTGTAATTACATCTATTATAGGAGTGAGTCCTTGTATTTCTTCAAGTCTTAAGGGATACCAAGGTTACCTAGGACATGGTTTTGAAAGATCATTCTGGATTTTAATATGTCTGGCACTTTTAATTTTTTTTCTATATTTGTAGAAGAAGAGGTCCATAGCTAACAGAAATTTCAGAGACATCTATAATATTTATATTTTTACGGACTTTAACAGTCTCCTCAGGACAATCAATTCGGACCCGGGAACATACAACATTTCAATGTCTGATGAATCTGGTGTAACTAAGGTTATTTTTCCTAGAGAAAATTTAATTTGACCTCTTACTTTGAAAAGCAAGTAAGAAATCAAAATAAATTTCTTTCTCTACTGAGGAAATTTACAGGGGTAGTATCACATAAGAGAAAGGTGTAACTTTAAGGGAAGATGCCAAGGGTGACAGTTATGGGTTTCAATAAACTCTTTGAACTTGACAGGAAATGCCCACCATTGAGATATTTTTATTACTCTGTGGAAGATTTTGATGTATTCTTGTAGGATTTAATGTAGAGTTGCCTTGATATCTACCAAAACAATACACATTTCCCCCATTTACTTCAAGTTTAGTTTCTCCTTACTGATTGAAATAAATTATTGAAATTAACTAGGTGATTCCTTGGAGCTTTGTCAATATTGACAGTCAACACAAGAATCTGATTAGCTTCATGATTCTGTCTTACAGGGCAACTAAGATGTTTAATCGGCCCATGATTTAAAAGGGGATTTTTTTTTCCCAGTGTCTCTTTTGTTGACAGTTTCTGTAGACATCTCAATCAATAGGGGTAAAATTTTAAGTGGGGGTGGATCTTTTGAAGTTGAACCAAGGTCCCTGTGATTGTTATAATTGGAAGGCCATGAGTTTATTTGCTTGATAGCTTTTTCCCTGCTCTATTGCTTTTTTTGAAATATTTAGCAAGACAGGGAAGCTCTGGGAGGGGGTGATTTTCCATTCTGACTTAGGTTTCTCTGGTAAATTACAGAGTTCTGGGCAAAGCTAGCTAAATAAATGAGCAGATGTAGCAATACCAGTCCCAGGATCTTTGAGGCCAGAGCATTGTCTGAATATCTCTTCTAAACTAATGTGGAAGTCTGGAAATCTGCCACCAGTTTACCCCTTTTCTGTTTAAAAGATTGTGTTATAGCACAGTCTATTCTCACAAGAAAAATTTTGAGAACTGCTTCAAGAAGCGGTTGGATTAATTTTTTGCCTCTTTTTGTTTCGTCTCTGCAGGTATCTTTAGTAGGGTTCTCAAAATCTTTGGTAGACTTTCTCCAACCTATTATTTGAAGCCATTTTGAGTATCTCCTGGATTTGCTATTGTATGGATAATTTTATATAAATCAGAAGATGCAGAATCATAGGCACCAAGGAGAATTTCAAATTTTCCTGTAAATTTAGTTTGGTCCTTTTGGGCTCTGGAAAATCTTTTATAATGGGTTGAAGCTCAGCTCCAAACCAGACTACATTCCTCTGAGGGTGGGATCTCTGGCTTACTTGAATATCCTACTTTAGAAGGCATCTGATGTTGGGGGAGTTTGGGAGGTGAGGACAGGATCAAGAGGATTAGTAGGTTTGGCTTAATCAGGCAATGGAGGGTAGAAAGGAGCAGAGGGTCTGGCAAGGTGTGATTCTGTCAGTTCCATCAGATCCATCTGAATTAAGGGTTTAATTTCTCATTAGCGTGCTGCAAGAATCCTGTGAAGAAGCTATCTTAGAACCACTTTGTCTTTTAGAATCCTCTCCATCCCAATAAAAGAAGTATTCCATTGTTTTTGAGAGCTTTTATATCCCCCTTTTCAAGGACATCTTTAAGATGAGCTATCTTTTTATCCAAGTTAAAGTTTCCCCAAAGTAGCCATTGCAATTCCAGATTATCCTTAGTAAAGTTCACTCACTTCTCTAGAAAGGTAAAAGAGCCTAGTCCATAGGCTTTTTTTTTTTTTTTTTCTGGAGATGGAGACTCACTCTGTCACTCAGGCTGGAGTGCAGTGGCATGATCTTGGCTCACTGTAAACTTCACCTCCCAGATTCAAGCAATTCTCCTGCCTCACCTTCCCAAGTAGCTGGGATTACAGTTGCTTGCCTGGCTAATTTTTGTATTTTTAGTAGAGATGGGGTTTCACCATGTTGGTGAGGCTGGTCTCGAACTCCTGACCTCAAGTGATCCACCCGCCTCAGCCTCCCAAAGTGCTGGGATTACAGGCGCAAGCCACTGTGCCTTGCTGAGTCCACAGATTTTAACCACATAACCAGCCAGAGTTTTAGATGGAGAATTTTGGGGTGCTTTGGACTGGGAAGATGCTATTCTGCCTTTTTGTTTTCTTGCAATGCTAAATAAGCAATGGGAAGTCTATCCAGAGTAGCTACTGTTCTGGCATCCAGGGAAACATGGATCCTCCCACTTTGAACAGAAAAAGGTGACTTTCCTAAGCTAACCCAAGCAAACTGAAAATAACACTTTTATATATTACAAGTGGAGAGGTCAAGCACCAAGAGAGCTGAGCTCAGATCCAAGAGGGCCTCATCAGATGAGCTCTGTGGTTGGCAAGGAAGGAGTAAGCACAACAGGCTCTCTGGGTGTTGGCACCTGCTTATGGATCTTGAGGGTCTTGAGGGTTTGAGGGATTGAGGGTCATCAGGGAGCTCCTTGGGCTCCCACGTCTGACACCAGAAACTGTCAACAATCAAGTCAAATCAGCAAAGAAAATTTTAACATTTATTGTAGCATAAAAGAGTAAGTACAAATTGCAATCCAGAATACTTCAAAACTGAAAGTTTTTAAAAGCTCAGAGGTGAGCTGTTACAGGCTGGCTTACATAGTGAAAATGACCAGAAGTTTTCCATACTTTTGGGAATTTTGGAGAGGGTAAATTAGCACAGATTAAAAGACCATATCACATCAGGTATAGTTGAAGAGTCTGGAGATTTTTAATCTACTAAAGAAAAATACGGAAACGAGGGAAGAAATATTATCAGCTTTCATCTCTTTAAAGGCTGAACATGGAATATGAATTAAACATACTGTAGAGCTCCAGAAAGGAAAATGAAAACAATGGGTACTATTAATAGGACATCACATTTTGGATCAATGGCTAAACGTGTTAAGAAAGGACTGGACTCCCTTGTAGAGCAGAGAACTACCCATGAGTGGAAATGTTCTTTCCAAAGCTCAGTGCCTGCCCATTGACAATATTGGAAGGGAGATTCTTTTTATTTTCTTCTTGATTGGGAAATTCAATCCTACATTAAGTCCCCTTCCAATCCTCCAATTTGTGTACTGTTTTAATAATTAGGGGTCTGCCCTTTCTATGTGTAAACAAAAGTGTGAAACTCCTCCCTCCCTGTCAGCATTTCTTCTAAAGGCTCTCCTGGGTAGCAAACGTAAGGGAGTGATCTGGAGAGGCATGTGGTGGTCCATCACAATCTCCAATCAACACAGTTACTTGGTGGATGATCCTATGCCATAGATCCCATCATGCTTCTCTTACAATGTCATAATTCTGTATTCTAAAAGCATGGTGCAGCAGTTTGCTTGCAGCTGTGAATGCCAAACGGCATAGTATTTGTGAAAACACAGTAAATCACTAAGTGCTTCATAGATGTAATGGCTTGCAAGATGAACATTAGCCCTGTCTTCCAAAAACAACCCCCTGAAAGTGCCAAGTTTGAAAATATGAATGTGGTAGTTATACCATAATATAAATATATTATATGATTATAAATGATATATATTTTATTTATATTATAAAATTCAGTTGTGTAATTTAAAATTTTCATAATTTTTCCTCCTAAGAATAGTAATACATATGTTGAATAACAGACTCAGCACTTAAAAAGAGCTCATTTGGCTAAAATAGTTAGTTAAAGCTATAATGATTATAATTTTTTTATATTGCTAGACTTTTTTTTTAAAGATCGGTTTTAGAGTCACAGAAAAACGGAGTGAAAAGTGCAGAGATTTCCTGTATATTCCCTGCCCCCACACATGCACAGCCCCCCCACCCTGCCACCATTCACACTCCCACCAGAGTGGTACATTTGTTACAATGAATGAACCTACCCTGGCACATCATTACCACCCAAAGTTCATAGTTTACCTTAGAGTTCCCTCTTGGTATTGCGTGTACCATGGGTTTTGACAAATCCATAATGTCATGTGCCACTATTAGAATAGCTTCACTGCTCTAAAAATAGGTGGGGAATGGAGCATTTTTCACCTATTCATCCCTCCTTCCCCCACTAGAGATTTTTTAATAATGATAAATTGAAGCTCTTGCAATTAAGTTCACAGAAATTCAATTGCACAAAAATAGAGTCAGGACCTTTAGTTTATGTGACAAAGACCTAGCTGATATGGCTAACTTTAAGCTTAATATAACCCCTCCATGTTACCTGAATGTTAAAAGAGCATTCTAGTCTCAGGAATACCCTACATTTTTTTAAAAAAAAAGCTTATTGTTTTGAAATAATGCCAAACTTTTAGAAAATGTGCAAAGATATTACAGATTTTTGGTATTCCCTTCACTCAGCTTCCCCTGTTGTTAATATCTCCCATAGCCATGGTGCAATTGTCAAAACAGGGAAATCAACATTGGTATATATTAGGTAAATGATGAACTTTATTCAGATATTACCAGTTTTTCTGCTAATGTTTTTATTTGAATCCAAAATGCAATCCAGAATTTTATGTTTGTTATGGTTTGGCTATGTCCCCACCCAAATCTCATCTTGAATTGTAGTTTCCACAATTACCACATGCCATGGGAGGAATCCAGTGGGAGGTACTTGAATCATGGAGGCAGGTCTTTCCCATGCTGTCCTTGTGATAGTGAATAAGTCTCACAAGATCTGACGGTTTTATAAGAGTTTCCTTGCACAAATTCTCTCTTGTCTGCTGCCATGTAAGATGTGTCTTTCACTTTACACCATGATTGTGAGGCCACCTCAGCCATGTGGAACTGTGAGTCCATTAAAACTCTTTTTCTTTATAAATTGCCCAATCTCAGGTATGTCTTTATCAGCAGTGTGAAAATGAATTAATACAATGTTGTAATTGGCTGCATGTCTCCATCATCTTCTCCAATCTGTGGTCGTTCCTCAGCTTTTCCTTGTCTGTCCTTCATATCCTTGACACGTTTAAGGAATAATGGTCAAGTATTTTATAAAATATTCTTCAATTTGGATTCGTCTGATTTTTTTTCATGATTAAATTGAAGTTACAGATGTTAGGGGGAAATTTCACAAGGATGATGTGCCATTATTATGATTTGCTTAATTTGTGTATTATATTAGGGGCATATTATATTAATATGATATTAATATATTTTATTAGTAAGTAATCAAAGTGATCACTTGGTTAAGGTGTTATCTTCAAGACTGCTCAACTGTGAAGGCATTACTTTTCTCTTTGTAATTAATACATATTTTGTGGGAGATGCATTGAAGCTACATAAAGTTTTTCACCTTAAATTTCTGCTTACTAATTTTAGCATTCATCAGAGGATCTTGCTTGAAACAATTATTGTTCTAGTGTTCTAATGATGATTTTCTATTTCCCACATTTCTTCCTTGGAAATCTTCTTTAAGGAACAATTTTTCTTTATTCCTCATTCATTTATTTATTCGATTATTTATTCTTGTCCATATAGATTCACAAGTTATGATTTATACTTTGAATTATATTGAAATAATTTCAGTGTTTATTTTCTTTCTCTGATTGTTCCTGGTTTGGTCATTGGGAACTCTTTCAAGTTGGGTACTATCACCTTTTGACAAGCTCTTATCCCTTTTATTTTCTTTTCACTTTCTTACTTTCTGACTTTGCAAAAAATTTCAGGACCAACTTCTAATTTTTAAGTAGACATTTTAAAGTTGATATCTGATTGGATATTGAGGGTCACGTCCTCAATTCCATGTCTTGGGGGGATATTACATTCCAGATCATAGCAAATAAAATGGTATAAAGAGTGTAAAATGCCCCCCACTTTGGTCTTCTTGGTGTTTTCAATTGGAGGTTTAATTTCAAAATGGAGGTTTTTAATTCTCCAGGTGGAGAGCGGGAAAGGGGAATTAGCGGTAGATCACCCTAAGTTAACTCTAGTGATAGAATTTCGTGACTGAAATGGCAGTGATGGAGGGGTAAGAATGCCTCAGGGAGGAAAATAGGAAGAGTATTTCGAAAGGAACACCAGTCAAACCTTTCCACACTGGTGAGATTATATTTGGACATAAGCCGACAAGTAGAGTAAAAAGCGCTGTGCGGTAGGGAAAGGGGAAGAACTCTGCAGAATGGAAAGTCACTGCAGGTCTCAAAGAGCAGCGGTCAAAACGTCCTTCCAGAGATAACTGGGAAAGTATGTGTCAATTTGCAAAACCATGCTGGCATCTCTCAAAAACAAAAGACATGGACAATCCCTTCCAAGCGATTTTCCTAGGGAAAATACCTTGATGGATTAAGCAATTTCCTTCTAAATATGTAGAAAAACACAGCCATTCATATATTTGTTCAGAATGTTTTCTATTTTTGCATTAAAGAAGTAAAAGCCTGAGGCAGGGAGGGGCAGATGTATCTAAAATTACCTCATTCTTTCTCAGAAACATTAAAAAGATATTTAAATTCCATAACATAAAACTTATTTGTGGTGATTTTATTCATGTTTTCCAAATACAGTAAACCCTAGTTTATGGGGCATTCTATCAAGTGTTTATTTGCATTTGAAGCCTCTTTGCTGGTAGTTTAGTGTTTCTATGGTACCTGCACCACCAAAAAAACAAAACAGAAATAAAGCATGGGTTTCACAGTTTGCCTCATTATGAACCTTGATGTTCATAACTAGAATGATTGGAGGAGGAACAAATTTCCCTTCAATCTTAGTGTTAAGTGTTTATATTTGGTCTCTGATTTATTTAAAATTGATCATCTATCCATTACCAGAATGTTCATTCAATTTAAACTTCCAGTTGCTTAACTCTGCAAATCTGACAGAATTTCAGATTACTGCAACAAATAGCTCTTCTTTAGATGGGAGGTCTGGAACCTGTAGGACTTCGGAAATACAACCTCAATTTGCTAATATTGCTCAGGCTAATATTTCTCGTCTTTGAAGCAATGATTCTCTACCTGAAGGTGAATGAATGAATCACCATACTTACATCCAAATGATACCTTAAGTCTCTGGCACAACCAATGCCATGTCTCAACATTCATGGAAATAAACTTTATGTGTGGGAAGAATTCATTGGCTTTTTAGTTCTTTTTTCTTCCCACATATCTAAGGTTTTTCCTTATCTGTTATTAAAGAAAGAGTTAATCTGCCTTGCCGTTCTGCATAATTGGCAAGCTAATGATCATTTACATGTGATCTTTCTCAACATTTATCAATCTGCATTTTCCTGACATGCAAATGCCACTGTTTGTCCATCAGTCCTGAACAAGGTGGTCATTCTCTACCCTTCAAATCCCATCCCTCAGCACTCATCTTAATCTTCTTTTGTTCTAGCAACAGTCAATATTTTAGTTACCCAAACCATCCTCCCTCATATGCTACTCCTCTGGCGTGACTTTTCCTTCCTGCTCACCTCCTCCTCTCTTCCCTATCTGGTTTAATTTTTCTTTGTGTGTCAAACCTCATCCCCAAAGTAAATTCATTCGTTTGGTTACAATGTCACCTCTTTATTACCCTCGTGCCCTATCGATGCTTCTATAAGAGAAACTCTAGCATTTCATTGTTATTAATGATATGCCAAACTGTAAGCCGCTCAAGGCCAGGATCTATGCCCCATTTATTCCAGAATTTTATGTACCACATACCAGACTGATAGAGCAGCACTGAAGAGACACTCAGTGTACGCTCAGTATTGTTATATGCAGACTGTTAAAAGATGATGCTGGTGGCTTTACTGGGAACACATTTTACCCAGAGAAGTCTTACAAAATTGAGCATTTGGGTACCTAAGCCAGTTATTTTCTCCAACATTTTATTATAACAAAATAAAACCTACAGTAAAGTTGAGAGAATCCTACATTGAACATTCATTTCCCCACCACTTAGATTCTACCATTAACGTGGTGTTAGCTTGTCTTACCACATAGCTATGTAATCGTTCCTCATCCATTAGTCTTATTTTATTGATACATTTTAAATAAACTGCAGATATGAGTATACTTCCCCCTAAACACTTCAACATACTTATCACTAACTAGAATTCAGTATTTGTTTATTTTTTCCCAGCGAGGCAAAGTGTACATATAGTAACATGTGTAAATATTAATGATGCATTCTCTATGTTTTCAAAAATACAAACAATTATGATAGAAGGGAAAGAGAAATAGGCTACACATGTTCATGTGAGCAACTATGTACACAGATGGAAGGAAGGAATTAAAGGCAGCTATCTTTGGAAACTGTCTGTCAATCACAGAGTAGTTGATTTAGACCCCCTGACTTTATTATAGATAAATTAACCAACCCTGTACCTATCTACCTCTGTCTGAACTTATTCTTCTGCAAAATAGTATAAAATCCCTATCATTTGTGCTAATTTTATTTGGGTATTCTCATAGTTGAAGCTTAAGGCATCTTAACTGATACACGAGCTTTTCATCCTCTCTGTGGGATAATGACTTACAAATAAATATCTTCAGATCAAGCTTCTATCCTGAAGCCTTGGTCCGTATGTAAAATATTGGAGAATTCTACTTTGATGTGTCTGTTAACTGTCCATTTAATAAATACGCTTTACTGAATTTCTAGAATGAATTTTTGAGTACTTTTTCTATGCTGGCAACTATTCTAGATAATATGCCAGCAAACTAAACGAAAGAAGACAACAATCGACAAATGCCTAATATTATTTCAGATGAGGATACACGCTGCAAAAGGCTGTCCTTTAGTCAATATAGAGGAGAGAGAGTTACGAATGGACTAGTGGCTACAGGAAGGACAGTAAAGGGTTGACATTATAGGGACGGTAAGGGAAGGACTCTGAGAAGGTGACTTTGATGTAGAACTTGAATGATGAGCATGAGTTATACATGAAAATATCTTGGGTAAGAGTGGACCCATCAAAGAGAACAACAAACACAGGGACTCTGGGGGAAAAAAAAAGCTTAATGTGTTTCATGTATACATTTCCTTTATTCCGTCTTCGCTTCTACTGTGTTAGTTCAACCCTTAAACAGCTTTTGCCATGATTAATGAAAAAGCCTCCTTCCTCATTTCCTCATCTCAGGTCCAACCCCTTCTAATTCAAATTCATCTCATCTGCTAGAATGATCTTTTCTAAAATGCTAGTCTAATCATGTCAGCTTTTTGCTTGACAGTATTCAATGGATCTTCATTGCCTTCAGAATAGAATCCAAAACTCTCAGGACAGCACAGAAAGCCCTTCAAGGTCTACAATGTCTTCTACATAGATTTAGCTCTTGCAATTCCCTCACCAACATCCCCACTCTATATTACAGCCATAATCAGTTGCTGGGTTTCCTGGTTTGTGCCCTGCTTTCTACTTCTCATGCTGTTGTACATATTGCTTTCTGAGCCTGGAACACACACCTCCACCCCATTCTCTTTTTCTCAACTATCTTCCACTAAACTTTGCAGACTCAGCCTGGTATTATCTGTCTTACACTGCTTTCCTTGACACATTTATTCTGGGCTAATTATTTCTCCTCTGTTTTTCCATTGCATTCAGTAACATCTTCTGATATGGTACTTACTACACAGTATTGCCAGGTTCTGTTTATTTGTTTATCTTCCCCATTGATCTTTGGACAATGTGAAGGCAGGGACCTTTTATCTCTTAATCCATAGAACCTATAAGAATGTCTAGCAATGTAGAACATATATTTAGTAAAATGTACTTTTAAATATTATTTTTATATGAAGTGAATGCACTTGTACAACTCTAAAACACATATTTCATACAGATCATAGAATTGAAAAGGAAGTTTTATAAAGACAATGCTGCATACTGGAAATAGCATTTACAGTCAGACTTCCATGGGTAACAGTTCATACTTAGCTGGCTAATAGCTGTAACATGAGGGAAATTGCTTAATTGTTTTGTTTTCTTATTTATAAAATAGTTATAATAAAATTTATCTTAAAGTTGCACATATTGCAAATAATATGGTAAAATAATTATTAGACAGCATGTGATTTTGTATTTACTAAAATGTCACAGGATCATGCCTTCATAACTATAAAAGCTACTATTTACTGGGAAGTCAATATGGTTCATTCATGATGCTAAGACCTTGATATGTACTGGTTCACACAATCCTCAAAGAACCTATTTGCAGTAAACACTAATATTGTAAACAAAATGTTTTTTATTTTTTCATATTCCAGACATGTGATAGGATTCTACTCCTGGCCCCATTGTGGTAGGTGTGGCAAGTTCTGGCCAATGAATTGTGAGTATGTCACTTCCAGGCTGAACATTTAATTGCTGACTTGAAATCTTCCTCCAAGTCTCTCTTTTCTATCTGACCCAAAGATTAAATGCATTTAAGATGATGGCTGCAGCGTCAGCCTGGGCCCCTGAGGGAGGACAATGAGTAACATTCTGTGCTCACCCACGGTGGACATGTAGCATGAATAAGGAATAAAACTACATTTTGACTTAATGAGAATTTTGATTTTATTTTTCTGAAGTGTTCTTAGCCTATCCTGACAGAAAAACTACTTCACTGCAGTGTACTATGACCTCCATTTATTTTACAGATAAAGAAACTGAGATTTGGCCGGGTGCGGTGGCTCATGCCTGTAATCCCAACACTTTGGGAGGCTGAGGCAGGCGGATCATGAGGTCAGGAGTTTGAGATCCGCCTGACCAACATGATGAAGCCCCGTCTCTACTAAAAATACAAAAATTAGCCGGGTGTGGTGACATGTGCCTGTAATCCCAGCTACTCAGGAGGCAGGAGGCTGAGGCAGGAGAATAGCTTGAACCACGGAGGCGGAGGTTGCAGTGAGCTGGGATCGCGCTACTGCACTCCAGCCTGGGCGACAGTGAGACTCCATCTCAAAAAAAAAAAAAAAAAAAAAAAGAAACTGAGATTTAAAAACGTTATTTCCCCATGATTACCTAGCTAGTAAGTGACAGAGTTTGGTTTCTGCCTTTTCTTCTTTACCTATCTATTACATTTCAGGCTTTCTTTTCCTAAATGGATGTCAGGCTCTCTTATCCTAAATTCTCCTGTCTTATAAATAAGTTCCAGTTCAAAACTCAATTCTGTGTAGTGAGTTTTGTTCAAATGATTCTCATGCATTTCTCAATTCTCTGAATTATATTGAATACATTGTATAATCTACACAAACAAGTGTACATTGTCTTGCATTATTTCTGTGATGTTCACACGAGAAAATTATAGCTTTAGAGTGAATGTGAGCTTCTTAAGGGGACTTTGCTTTCTGCTTCTTCACTAATGACCCCCTTATCCTCCTTCCCTGCAGCCAATGCAATACTAATTTCATACCATTTTGCATACATACAAGATATTTTTGCTCAGAGATTAAGTTCTTAATAACCTATTATTTCATTTCTGATTCATAATTGAAACTAAATATTTTCAGTTTACTTTTTCTGATTTTGTCTCCAAAAAGATGGCGACATTAATGTCTAAAATTCAGTGCCTTATTTTCCCTGAAGCTGCAGTGTCCATTCAGCTTCTTTTTGCAATAGGCATCTGAAAGCCTGTAGTATATTTACATTAAGTTACAAGAGCAGGAAAAAGGTTATAAGAATAGTGTTGAAGCTTTTCCCCAAGTACCTTTTCTGTCTTTTTTATGGGTGACAATATGAAGGAGTGCAATGTGGCTAATGGATGTCTACATGTATGAGCATAAAGAGTTATACATCAGGCTGAGTGCTCTTATTGACCAATCATGTTGCTCAGCGACTCCTACCCATTTTGTAAATTTCATAATATCCTCACTGCAATGGTGGTGCAAAAATAAAAACTGATTTATGAAGAAGATTGGTTTTTTATACCAGTTATTCAGCTCTATTTTCCTGGTAGGAGTGGTGGTAAAAGTCTAATGCGACCCTGAGAATATCTCAAACAACCTAATATGTCTGCGATGAGATCACAATGCAGTCGTATTGCTACCCTTTGTTATTGGTACATGCAACATCCAAAATATATATGACATTAGGTAAGGCTTGGCCGGGGACTTGACCAACTAGTAGCTTAACTGTGGGAAATTCACCCAATATATCTAAGTTTAAGATTTGACAAATGAATCTTTTATTTACATAAAGATTTTTAAAAATCGGATGAGCTAAAGAATGTGAAAGCACTTTCGAAATCTGAAATACCATGCAAATATAGAGGATTATTATTATCAGTAGCTTAAAACATTTTGAGGAGAGAGAGATGGAAGCAAAATTTGTGATGTGTGCATTTGTGTTCTATGTAGCTGAATAGCAAAAATAAACATACATATAATAAAGCCATCACCAACATAGAAACATCTTTCAGTAAGACATAGAAAGAAATGTTTCAAAGCGGTATCTTTGTAGACAAAATTGTACGATCACTTCTGCTTCTGGCCAGGAGCAACTAATACCAGATTGACCTCTTGCTGTAATAATCAGAAAGCAGGATAAATATATAAAAGAACTCTTTTCATATGTTGAACAAGAGACAGTGCAGGAATATAGTTTCTGAGAGAAGAAAAACAGATAAGATAAGCTGCATCGTGCCCCTGCCTTTGTATCTGGAATTACTCTGAACAACAGTGCATAGGTGGGCAACCTGGCAGAGCACAGCAGGCTTGCTACATTGAGAAGGCTGAGATTGGGATTTGGGAGCCCTTGGAATTTGGTGGGCAAGCTCTTGAGAAGGGAGACACTGTGGTGAGCCTCAGGGTATACAGCAGAGACCCCAAAAAGCTCAGGCATAGAATTAGGGCAAAACTAATTCTAGAATAAAGACTATCCTAGACTCACATGAAAAAAGATACACAAAAATCCTCCAAAGGATCCAGCTGCTTGAGTCACAAGTAAATTATTTGCATGATAAAAATGAATAAACTTTAAAACTCTTCAAAGTAAAACAACAAAATCTAGAATGTCATAAAACAACAAAATCTAGAATGTCACAAGATAATATTCATACTGCCTAACACAAAATTTAAAAATTAGACAGGCAAATAAGAAAATGTGGCTCATGACCAGGAAAAAACCTCACTAAACAGAAATAGGACCATAAATAACAGAAATGATAAAATTTGTAAAAACATATTTTTAGAAATCAATTAAAATATGTCCAAGAAATTAAAATAATAAAGATGATATAAAGAGAAGGTATTTAAAAAACAAAATTCATTTTGTCACTGAAAATTTTTAAATAATATTTAAAACTCACTACAGAAGATTAATACCCAATTAGAAATAGCAGAAGGAAAAAAAATCAGTAATCTTGAGACACAGCAATTTAGTCTATTAAATAGATTAAATAAATGAAATAAAATGAAATGAAATTTCAGGGACAATAAAATGAAAATTAAAGTGAACAGAAATTTAGTGACCTTTGGAAAAATTCAACTATAAATGTAATTGAATTAAGAGAAATAAGTGAGGCTGAAAAATAATTGAATAAACTTCAGCTAAAAATACCACAAATTTGATTTATAAAACTATAAACCTATAGGCCTAAGACATTCAACAAATCACAGGGAGGATTAAACACTCAGAAAATAAAATCAGATACATTAAAATAAAACTGATGAGAATCAGTGATAAAAGAGAAATCTTAAAAGGAGAGAAAAAATAATAAATAGGTAAACAAAGATAAAATATAATGAAGACATCTCAGAAACAATGAAAGATAGAATACATTGAACAAACTCTCTAAAGCATTAAAAGTAAAAAACTGTCATACAGAATTTTATACCCAGCAAAAATATCCCTCAAAACAGAAGGCAAATATATTTTCAGGCAAACAAAAACTGGTAGAATTTAGCATTAGCAGACCTGCCTTCCAAGAAATGTTAAAACAGAAATGTTAAAGTGAAGAACAGAAAAGTATTGTCAATATGTAGCTAAATTTAAAATATATTTGGTTTATTGTTTTTTAAATTTGTTTAAAAGATAATTTACTTTTAAAAGCAAAATAACAATGTATCAGGGTATTTATAATATATGTAGAAATTACATGCCTCTCAGCAATGCAATAAAGGGCAAGAAGGGGAAAGAGATGTACAGTGTTGTATATTGCTTGTGGTAAATGAGTTTCATGGAGAAATATTTAAATACTAGGAGAACCACTCATAACAAAATGAAGAATAATTGAAAACGCATTATAGAACACAAATGGAATATTAAAAATTATTTAATTATCCAAAAGCTAGCTGGAAAGATTAGTAACTGAGACCATATGGAATTGGTGTTAAGATAGACACATAGATTAATGAAACGGAACAGAGAGGCCAGAAATAGAGCCACATATACATGATCAAATGATTTTCAACAAAGGTGCCCAGGTAATCAGTGTGGAAATGACAGAGAAACAGGGGAAGTCCAGGTAAAAGCTTTGGCCCCTCAGAGACCTTCTCTGAGAAAGCACAGTCATGAGAGTGAGGCTAGTGTCTTGAAGGAAGCGTGAGGGCAATGGTCCTTCTCAGGTATCATGCATCCAGGTTGGGTATGAGGCATGAGACCCTTAGCAGACTGGTCCATGAGCTTCTCTGGATGCTTTCAATTTCAGCAGGTTCATGGGTTTATAAATAATCGCTGAGAAATGTAATTTTTTTTTGAGATGGAGTTTCACTCTTGTTGCCCAGGCCGGAGGGCAGTGATGTGATCTCAGCTCACTGTAACATGCACCTCCCCAGTTCATGCAATTCTCCTGCCTCAGCCTCCCGAGTAGCTGGTATTACAAACAGGAGCCACCACACCCAGCTAATTTTTGTATTTTTACTAGAGACGGGGCTTCACCATGTTGGCCAGGGTGATTTCTAACTTCTGACCTCAGGTGATCCACCTGCCTCGGCCTCCCAAAGTGCTCAGATTACAGGCATGAGCCACCGCGCCCGGCCTGAGAAGTGTAATTTTTCAATAACTCTGTGGCAGCTATTCACAAGGATGAGCCCCCATTTTCTGTCACACGCATATTCCCTTAAAAAAGAAATCATTGCTTTTTGGACAACAGAGTACACTAGTTCCACAACTCTTTCAAGGGTAATAATTTAAAAAGAAAAGAAGCAAGAGAGATATAGAAATTGAACACCACTGTGCACAGAACCAGTTTCCTGTGCCTGAGCCCTGGATGGCAAGGGGTCTTAGCCAAGCCCTCTCTCAGGCTGCTGCATTAAAGCCAAGGCTGTTTTCACTGTGGACTAACAGAAAGCTGCCTTGCTTTGTGATCTGGGGGCAAAAGAAGCATATTATTTTTAAAAAAACAAAAACATGTAATGAATGGTGTTGGAGAGGAAAACACATTGTTAGATACTTCAGAGGCATATATATTTATGCCATATTTATTTATATATATGCATATATAGAAATATATTCACACAGACACACACATACACATACACACACAGAGGGAAAGAGAGGGAGAGATATATTATAGGGGATTGGCTCACATGATTATGGCAGCTGACAAGTCTCAAGATCTGTCGAAGTGAGCTGACCCAGGATTGCTGATGGTGTAGTTCCATTCCAAAGGCCAGCAGGCACCAGGCCCAGAAAGAGTAGATGTTTCCGCTGGAGTCTGGAGACAGGATAAAGCTGACATCCGAGTTTGAAGACAGGCAGCAAGAATTCTCTTACTCAGAGGAAGGGAGAATCAGTCTTTTTTTATTCTTTCCAGGCCCTCCTGCCCACATGAGGGAGGACGACCTGCTTTGCTTTCTCTACCAGTTCACATGTTCATCATCTCACAAAAGCACTCAGAATAGTGTTTGACCAAACATCTGGACCCCCATGGCCTAGTCAGGTTGACACATAAAATTAACCATTACAGACGCTTTTGGGTTATGGGTCTTGACTGTACATTCTGATATAAAGTTAGATAAGTGAACCCCTTACAGTGAAAGTTTAATTTAAAAATTTCCAGGATTACCTGTAGACTTTACACAGGGGGAAAAAATGGAAAACTAAATATTCCTATTGCTTAATGATTAAGTGAGAAAGGTTATCATGTCTCTGGAAGACATTTTCCAATGCCCACAGCAAAACCCAGGGAGTAGGAGGGGAAACCCCAAGTTAACTGTGGTTTTTCAGACCCGTCCTGGGGCCTGGTCATCACATGTACAACTGGTAAGTGAGCAGAAGAGCTCACCTGTGAAGAGGGAAGTGAAAATGGTTGTTTTATGAGTGTTTAAACACCCACAGCTTCTCTAAGCTCTTTATTCCCCTGCCTCCAAAATGCAATCGCCCTTCATGGGTGAGAAATTCTGTTTATTTTAATGAGAATCTCTTCTATCTAACACTGATTTTCTGGGACTAGATGAAGGCAGTGGTCAGAAAGGATACCGAATTCTTCTGCCTTTGCTGGGCTCTAGTCAACTGCTTCCAGGAGACCTTCCCACAGCCAGAGCTTCCACCTGCTTGCTAAGAAAGGCCATCTCTCCTGGAACTTATGGTCTACACCCTTCCACTTGGCGCCTCATGGTACAGACCTTTGGATTCTCCCATTTTTCTTGTGCTTTAATAATTCCACGCAGATAGAAAGGCTCTGGAAATGATTCCATTTCTTGCCCCCACTCCCTGTGCCCACCCCCGACCCTCACCCTATGTCTCAGCTCCATCATTTCACATGGAAGTGACACGGGGCTTGGCGAACTGAGCGGTGGGACTCCCTGTTGGTTGTGCCCCAGTTAGCTTTGGCGTTTTCTTCCTCTTTTTTTTTCCATTGCCCCTAATCCAGTCCAAGGCATCTAGAGTCCTGCAAGTCTCCTAAATGGTTTTAAGCACCTCTAATCCATTCCGTAGTCATCCCATTACAATTCGGGCCTAATCATCTTATTGCCTTGTTTAAAGCTTTTCAAAGATTTATCCCATTGCTCTTAGGACAGGAGCCAAGCACTCAAGTCTGGCCTCGACAAGACCCGCACAATCTGACCTCTCATTACTGCCCCTTTATCTTTTGTGCTCCAGCAACACAAGCCTCCTTCAGGTCCTCAGAAAAGCCAAGCTTCTCACTCTTCAATTTCCTCTGTCTGTAATTTATCCTCTTTGAGTCCTCCCTTTCATTTTCTTATTCCAATATCTTAAATGTTTTATCAGTCATATCACTTCCAAGGGAATTTGTTGCGACTCCTCAGACGAGGTCAGATCTCTCGGTTATAAACTCTGTCCACATCCTCTGCTGCTTCTAACACATTGTAATTGTGCTTAAGTGATTACTTATTAATACTAACTTATCAATAATCTATTCCTACTAATAATTAATTATTCAGGGGAGGAGCTGCTGCATTCCCAAGCAGAGGGGACCATAGCCAGAGTGGGAGCTGGAAGGTTGTGAGTTTCGTGCTGTGATCACCTCAGGGAAACTGAGGCTTGAGAACTGAGCTCTTCAGGAGTAAATCTAGTAAGCGGTGGTAGCAAGTGGGCAGGGATGGGGCTCAGGCTGAGGCAGCCCCCTAGAGCGTTAGGGCCAATTATCAATGCAGAGCTGGACGATGCTCAGGGATGGCTGGCTTTCAGCAAGCTGCGAACCTGGAGGTGGTAGAGAGGGATGGAGGGAAGGAGCCACTTCTGATGCTTATTAACATGGCCCTGAACCAGCAGGGCACCCTGCAGAGGCAGCACAGAGAAAGGAGCAGCAAGTGGCCACAGAGATGGTGCTGTCCAAGGCAGATCTGGAGCACGCAGAGGAGCTGAGGCCCTCTGCCAAGGAGTCCAAGGGCAGCCAGACTGATGGAGCAGGCGCCGTGGAGGCGCCACGCTGAGAAAGTGTTCCCAGGGAGAAAACCAGCAGGAGAGACACTCAGGCACCTTCCTGATAAACTTGAAGACACAGGGGCTTGGGCAGAGTGCCTAGGAAATAGCAATGTAGAGATGAGAAAAACCAACTACTAACACAGGAGAGGATGCTTGGCCCAGAAGCATCCGGAGCCCATGGTGCGGGCCTCGTGGAAGCCAGGGCCTGCCAGGCTCTCTGCCGAGTCCTACTTTGTTTAAGGCCAATTCATCCCTTTACCTTGTTGAAATTTGTCAGTCATTTCTTCTTCATAGATTTATCTTTTATTACCCCTACCTTCCTTTAGGCACTCTGATCACATCTATAGGAGGCTGAGATTGCCCCAAAGCTCACTGATGATTTGTTGATTGGTTTTTCTGTTGAATCTTTTCTTTGTCTAAGTTTTATTTTGGATGGTTTCTATTGTTGTGTTTTCAATTTCACTAATGTTAATTAAGAATGCTTAATCTGCCATTAATCCCATTCACTGTATTTATTTTAGATATTGTAGTCTTTGTCTCTAGAAATGTCATGTATGTCTTTTTTTGTTGTTTTTTGTTTATTTGTTTGTTTTTTGAGACAGAATCTGGCTCTGTTGCCCAGGCTGGAGTGCAGTGTCGTGATCTCCGCTCACTGCAACTTTCTGCCTCGTGGGTTCAAGTGATTCTCCTGCCTCAGCCTCCTGAGTAGCTGGGATTACAGGCATGCACCACCATGCCCAGCTAATTTTTGTATTTTTAGTAGAGACAGGGTTTCACCATGTTGGTCAGGCTAGTCTCAAACTCCTGGCCTCGTGATCTGCCTGCCTCCACCTCCCAAAGTGCTGGGATTACAGGCATGAGACACTGTGCCTGGCCTGATGTATTTCTTTTTAAAGTAACTTCCATGCTTCTATTTAGCTTTTTGAATACATGGAATGCAGTTATACAATGATTATAATGTCTCTTTCTGCTAATTCTAACATTAATGTTTTTTCCTGTTTAGTTTCAATGGATTATTATCCTTATTATGAGCTGTAATTTTCTGCTTCTTTGTATGTTTAGTAATCTTTAATTGAATGCCATACTTTGTGAATTTTAACTTGTTAGATACTGAACATTTTGTATTCTTTTAAATATTGAGCTCCTCCCCCACCTCTCGCCCCCAGAATGCAATTAGAGATTACATTATGAACGACTATATGTCAACAAACTAGAAAACCTAGCAGAAATGGATAAATTCCTGGACACATACAGCCCACCAAGATTGAACCGAGAAATAAAACACCTGAACAGAACAATTACAGTAATAAGATTGAATCAGTATTAGCTGAGTGGGAAGATAATTTGTACACCAAACCCCATGGCACACAATTTACCTATATAACAAACCTGAACATTTCCCCATGAACCTAAAGTAAAAGTTAAAACAAACAAACAAACAAACAAAAACAGAAAGCCTAGGACTAGATAAAATCACTGCTGAATTCTACTGAACATTTAAAGAATTTATACCAATTCTTCTCAAACTTTTCCAGAAAACTGAAGAGAAGGGAATTCTCATTTTATGAGGCCAGGATTTCTCTAATTCCAAAACCAAACAAGGACACAAGAGAAAAACAAAAACTATATGCCAATATTCCCGATGAATATAGACACAAAAATCCTCAACAAAATACTAGCAAACAAAATCTAGCAGCATATTAAAAAAAGATCATTTGCCATGATCAGGTGGGACTTATCCTAGGGATGCAAGGATGGTTCAACATACTCAAATCAATAAACATGATACATCACATCAACAGAATAAAGGAGAGAAACAAGATGATCATCTCAATAGACAGAAGGAGCATTTGATAAAATTCGACAGCGTTCATGATAAAAATTCTCAACAAATTAGGCATAGGCGGAATGTACCTCAACATGATAAAGGCCATGTATGACAAACCCACAGCTAACATCATACTGAAATGTGATGAAACTGAACTGGAACAAGGCAAGGATGCCGACTCTTAACACTCTTATTCAACATAATACTGGAAGCTCTAGCTAGAGTAATTAGACAAAAGAAAGAAATAAGGGGCAGGGAGGTGGGGAAGGGAGAGCATTAGGAAAAAGAGCTATTGCATGCTGGGCTTAATACCTAGGTGATGGGTTGATAGGTGCGGCAAACTGCCATGGCACACGTTTACCTATGTAACAAACCTGCACATCCTGCCCGCATACCCCAGAACTTAAAATAAAAATAAAAATTAAAAAACTCTCTACATTGAAAAGGAGAAAGTAAAAATTGTCCCTCTTTGCAGACAATATGATCTTATAAGTAGAAAACCCTAAAAGCTCCAGCACAAAACCTTTAGAACTGATAAACAAATTCAGTAAAGTTGAGGGACACAGACTCAACAAACAAAAATCAGTAGCATTTCTATAAACCTAACTCACTGAAAAAGAAATCATGAAAGCAATCTCATTTATAATAGCTACCCAAAAAATACCTCAAAATACATTTAACTAAGGAAATGACAAGGGATTAATAACCAACTATATAAGGAGCTCAAGCAACTCTATAGGAAAAAAATCCAATAATCCAATTAAAAAATGGAAAAAAAGATCTGAATAGACATTTCTCAAAAGAAGAATACAAATGGCAAACAGGCATATGAAAAGATGCTCAACATCACTGATCTTCAGAGAAACGCAAATCAAAACTACGTAAGATATAATCTCACCCCAGCTAGAATGGTTATTAGAAAAAAAAAAGACAAAAATAACAAATTCTGGCAAGGATGCGGAGACAGAGGAACTTTTATAGTATTGTTAGTAGGAATGTGAAATCAGTACAACTACTATGGGAAACAGTATGAAGTTTCCTCAAAGAACTAAACATGGAAATACTAGATCATCCAGCAATCCCACTACTGGGTATATGGACACAGAAAAGAAAATTAGTATATACTATCAAAAAGGTACCTGCAGTGCCATGTTTATTGCAGCACTATTCACAATAGCCAAAAATTGAAATCAACCTAAGTGTCCATCAGCAGATGAATGGATAAATAAAATGTGGTATATGTATATGATAGAATATTATTCAGCCATAAAAAAGAATAAAATTCTGTCACTTGCAATAACATGGATGAATTCAAAGGACATTATATTAAGTAAAATAAGTCAGGCACAGAAAGATGAATACCAGATGATCTCACTTATACGTGGAAGCTAACATAGTTGATGTCATAGAAGTACAAAGTAGAATAGTTGGCTGGGCACAGTGGCTTACAACTGTAATCCCAGCACTTTGGGAGGCCAAGGTGGGTGGATCACCTGGGGTCAGGAGTTGGAGACCAGCCTGGCCAACATGGTGAAACCCTGTCTCTACTAAAAATACAAAAATTAGCCAGTTATGGTGGCCCATGCCTGTAATCCCAGCAACTCGGGAGGCTGAGGCAGGACAATTATTTGAACCTGGGAGGCAGAGTTGGCAGTGAGCTGAGATTGTGCCACTGCACTCCAGCCTGGGCGACAAAGCAAGACTCTGAAAAAACCAAAAGGAAAGGAAAGAAAGGAAGGAAGGAAGGAAGGAAGGAAGGAAGGAAGGAAGGAAGGAAGGAAAGAAGGGAGGGAGGGGGGAGGGAGGGGGGAGGGAGGGACAGAGGGAAAGAAGCAAGGAAGGAAGGAAGGAGAAAGAAAAGAAGAATAGTGGTTACCAGAGGCTGGGAAGAGGAATGGGGAGAGAGGGAGGGTGAGAGTTTGAATAACAGATACAAAATTACAGCTAGATAGGAGAAATCAGTTCTAGTGTTCTATAGCACCGTCAGTATAATTAATAATGACCTATTGTATATTTTCAAACAGCTAGAAGAGCGGATTTTGAATGTCCCCAACACAAAGAGGTGATAAACGTTTGTGGTGGTAGATATGCTCATTACCCTGATTTGATCATTGCATTTTGTAGGCATGTATTAAAATATCACAATGTACTCTATAGACATGTACAATGATCATGTGTCAATTAAAAATAATGCAAGGCAAAGAAGAAAAAAAATTACGGTTTCAGATAAAGACACATTTTCATATGGGGGTCTTTCAGCCCTACCGAGATGACACATGTATTTGATAAATAATCACTTGTATTGAAGTTCCACTTGCAACTGAAAATGTTCAAGCAAAGCATTTTGAAGTGAGAAGGGGTTTCTCCAGCTCCTTGTGAGGTGCAGACTCTTGCTCTAGCATTGGATGTCCTCGTTCCTGGAGTGACATCTTCCTCCTTTCCCCTGAAGGCTTCCATTGAGCTCCAGATCATTTACTTGACACAAAGGGTGTCTCTGTCTCTCTCCCAATCCTCATCCCAATGAAGTTCTTGACCTCATTTTCTAGGCCCTCCTCATTCCCCACCATGAGAGGTAAACTTTTATTCCTTTGTAAACTGGAAACCAGAAATCTGCAGAGAAGAGGGTAACGGGATTTTGGGGTTGAACTTGCACTATTCTTATGGAATCTGATTGTCCAAGGGAAATAAACCTGTCAATGCATGAATGGTCCAAATATATCCTGAGTTGGCTTAAATCTGTTTTATTTTATTTCATTTTATTTTATTTTATTTTATTTTATTTTATTATTTTATTTTGAGACGGAGTCTTGCTCTGTCACCCAGACTGGAGTGCAGTGGCGCGATCTCAGCTCACTGCAACCTCCAACTCCTGGGTTGAAGCTATTCTCCTGCCTCAGACTCCCCAGTAGCTGGGATTACAGGTGCGTGCCACCATGCCTGGCTAATTTTTGTATTTTTAGTAGAGACAGGGTTTTACCATGTTGACCAGGCTGATCTTGAACTCCTGACCTCAAGTAATCCACCCGCCTTGGCCTCCCAAAGTGCTGGGATTACAGGCATGAGCCACTGCGCCTGGCCCATATCTGTTTTCTTTAACTTGCTAGAGCCCTTCGGAGAAATTAGTGCCTTTCCCAGATCACCATATGAGGCTTTAATGCCTAGAAAATGCAGGCCACTTCCTCCAGCCCTCCTCCTCACTAAAGAATAATAACATTTTTCATATGAGAAGCTACTTATGAGGCTTTAAGATAGAGTATCTTTTCATGCATCAGCTCTGGCTGTTGGTTTCAGTGGTTTAATCCTAAATCTGCTGCCAGGAATGCTGTTGAGAGTGAAAATGAGCCCCCTGTTTGCTGCCATCAAAGCTCAGGGCTTTCGGATGGCCATTAGGTGGCCATGAATCTCTTGAGTTTATTTACAAACGTCTGTGTGTATATCCATTTGTTTCAAGATAAGATCTGTAGCTTTCCTCGTTCTCAGAGGGGTCCAGTATTCAAAAGAGGTTAAGAACTACGGGTTTAAATAATTTAAAATGGTCAATTATTAATTTAGCTTTTTAAGCCTACTTCCTGTAATTGAAATAACTTACAACACTTCTTTGTGCCTCCCGAGGCCTCGAAATTGAGCTTGAGGAAGATTTTTTGGCTTCCTCTTCTCCCGTCTCTAAATGCCGTTAGGGCCTCGCTTACAGAAAATAGTTGCCCTACTTTGTTTCTTTACTCCAGCAATTCCTAGAGGGTCCTCATTTTTCTACCAAGTAACTCTGGATAGTAGAAGAATACAAATTCAAATCAGCCAGATTTTGAGAACTTATGATGAAGGCAAGAAACATGTCTACTCGTATTAGAGGAGAGTATGACCCCTAGCAGCTGCCCTCTGGAATACAATGTGGTCACCCAGCCGTGTTATGCTCAGTGCAGCCATGCCCTGAGAAGAATACAGACGACAGGGTTCACTACCCTTAAGAAGTTTACAATCCAATCAGTAAGACAAAACCAACAATTAGTCCACCACATTATAATTCTTAAGTCGTTTCCTATGTGGAAGTGACTATATACATTTTAAAGATGCTCCAGAGAGATAAAGTTCATTGAAGCCCAGATAAATCAGAAGATGTTCTTCGAGGAAGGGAGATATAAATTGGGCCTGAAAGAGTGGATCGTGTCCAGATTTTGTGAATATTGACAGCCCACTTTTTATTTATAGTTGTTTTTTTTTCCAATGCAGCAAGAAGAAATTAAAAGAGGAACTGAATTACCTTTTCTGCAAGAGTGGAAAGGTCACAGGATGGGCAAGAGCAGGGAGTTAAAGGGACTAGAGGCTGTTGTCCTCAGAGGGCCGTCTGCTTATGGGAGCTGGTCAATCTCTCCTCCCCAATTATTTATTTCAAAAGTAGAAAAACTGCCGCAGTTTGCCTAAAACTTCATCCCGTTTCTACTAAAAATACAAAAATTAGTTGGGCATGGTGGCACACACCTGTAATTCCAGCTACTCGGGAGGCCAAGGTGGGTGGATCACTTGAGGTCAGGAGTTCAAGACCAGCCTGGTCAACATGGTGAATTAAATTATCTCTAAGTCCCCATTTGCCCCAACACCTACTAATGCTAAATTCACGTTGACAATTTTACTCTATTGTCACTACTGATAATAAGCAGAAGTGTAGACAAGCATCAAGCAAGTGAGTACTGAGAAAGAAACAGATACCCCCATCTGCTCTCACCCCAGGAAACAACTGCCCCATTTTGCCTAAAACTTCATAATTAGTGAGACCTCTGCAGCACTGGAGAACTCTGTTAAGTATAAATGAGTTGTCTGAGAAAGGCAATTAAAGCTTTATCTGACATAAGTGGGAATCGTCGTAGGGAAAGGACGCCAATCATCAAAAGGGAAGAAATAAAGGAGGGGCAAGTCTTGTAAATACACTCTGGGTCGTGATTTGCCTTAGGTTATCACATCTAATCGTATATCTGTAATGTATTTCACACATACGGTGCCCAGTCCTTACGAACAAAATAACTCATGGTTTCGTTGGGGAAATAAGACATAATATAGATCTTCCAAATCTTTTGAGTTTATCCTATTACTAAGTAGGTATTTAGGTAGACAGTGGCTCAATAATTGCCCATCAGATTAAATACATGAGCAAACAATGTTGTCAGAGAGAGTCAACTGATTTTAAAAAACAAGTTAACGTACAGAAACACTTAATAGAAAACCATGTCGGAGCCCTACTTGCCCCACTGATATGATGCTGCCTTCACACACTGCGAGCCCTCTGTGTTCCCCGGGCCTGAGTTCTCCACCTAAGCAAAGAACCAGACTGGGCATGGTGGCTCATGCCTGTAATCCCAGCACTTTGGGAGGCTGAGGTGGGTGGATCACTTGAGGTCAAGAGTTCAAGATCAGCCTGGTCAACATGGTAAAACCCCATCTCTACTGAAAATACAAAAATTAGCTGGACATGGTGGCACACACCTGTAATTCCAGCTAATCAGGAGGCTGAGGCAGGAGAATCACTTGAACCCCGGAGGCGGAGGTTGCAGTGAACCAAGTTCATACCACTGCACTCCAGCCAGGGAGACAGAGTGAGACTCTGTCTCAAAAAAAAGAAAGAACCAGACAATCTCCCAACACTGCCTTTTCTCAGGCCCTAAGCCTTAATAAATCATCTCTACCCTTCTGAGATACCCTGGGAAGCATTTGCTAGCTAATTAGCTCTGCTATGAGTAACTAACATACTTTTGGTCTTTACTCAACAAATCAGCAACCAATAGAAGACAACAGACATTTGAATATAAATTTCCTCATAAGTTTGTCTGTTCTTTCTTATTACTGAGATTCTTCAGGGCTCATTTTAAATCCTGAACACATTACAGACTCAATAACAGCTAGTTGATAGATTTATTGGTGCTGCCTTAGGCCATGGCATTTCTATTGGGGTATCCTTGATCACTCTGATATTGCTTCCCTACTGAGAGCTAAAGTTACACCAGCTAATCATGCTGAATTCTCCAAAGTCCCTCTCTTCATGGCAATCACCTTGACTTGGGAATTTTAGACTAGAGCAATGCACAGTTTAATATCTTTTCAGAATTTATACTTTTGTTCAGATCTTCAAGAAAGTGGCTCTGCGACTCTACAGGTAACATCTAATGAGACATTCTGGCCAGAAGCTTAAGGTAACACTTGCCCTGCAGTCATCAAAAATAAGAGCTGCCTCTGCTGTCATAGCATTCTCAACCGTGCAGTACGAAGCAGGGCTGATCCTGGCCAGACTAGGAGTAAGCCATGAAAGATATTGATTGACAGGCTATGAGGACCCATTGAGGTTTCCAGATACGAAAGGTGAAGGGAACTGACTTCCTGGAGCATGGACTTGATGCCAGGGTCCGTGTCACGTTTCTATTTACATTTCCTGTTGTTGCATTACGTTAGCGCCTGATCCTCACAGGTGTGGTGATTGTCATCACACTAATGGAGAATCGTAGGTTCACGTATTTTAAGTAACTTGCAGAAGACCACATTGATTAATTTGTGGAAAAGTATGTGTTTGGAGGACACAGAGAATTGTGTCAAAATCAATACTCTACTCTTTTTACAGCTCCCTTCGTCTCATTTCAGAGAAGGTGGTGCTAAAAAGAACTGGAGCCCAGTTATTTAGGAAAGACAAGGAATAAAGTGACTATTGCAGAAACCCTGAGTTCTATGGCCTTAGGCAAGGTACTTAGCTTCTGTGCACCTTAGTTTCCTCAGCTGTAAATTGGCTTTAATAAAAGTGTTTCTCATCAAATCTAAGCTACCACCAATTGTAAGTCTTATCATTTATGTACTAATTAAAATAAACTTAGCAATTAGATTGTGACAAAATACTCTTATCAGAATTTTTATAACTTTTGAAAAGCTCTTTTAAGCTTAACCCACTTATGCCTGAGGTTGCAGTTTTTTGAATTTTTGCAGTCAGACCTTGCCGATGACCTTAAGCAGTAGGATGCAACCCCCATTTGCTTAGCGTTCCAATAATGGAACACTAGGCATAAATAATAAAATAGTGGTGTTTATTGTGTGTCACTGCTGTGCAAAACTAAATATATATATATATATGAAATGACTAGGTTAGTGTATTATTAAAATTTTGTCACATCCAAAGTTTGACTGTTTGAACTTTTCTCACTCTCTTTCATCAATGCTCCTGTTTTCTCTATACCCGAGAGCATCAGTCATGAATGTGTTAGGAAACAATACTCCATCCTGATTCCCTGTGCAGTGACCACTGGAATGTGACTGCCACCCAGTCAACAGCAATTATAAGGCATACGAATTATATAGTTGCTAAAATTTTTTACAAATCCTTCTTATAACTAATGAAAATCATAATGTCTATCTTACAGGCATATTATGACAATTAAATATAAGGAGGCAGAATAAAATAGTATTAAACAGTCCGGGCATGGTGGCTTATGCCTGTAATCCCAGCACTTTGGGAAACCGAGGCAGGTGGATCACTTGAGGTCAGGAGTTCGAGACCAGCCGGCCAACATGGCGAAATCCCATCTCTACTAAAAATACAAAAATTAGCCAAGCATGGTTGTGCATGCCCATAGTCCCAGCTACTTGGGAGGCTGAGGCAAGAGAATCACTTGAACCCGGGAGGCGAAGGTTGCAGTGAGCCGAGATGGCACCACCGCACTCCAGCCTGGGTGACAGAGCAAGACTCTGACTCAAAAAAAAAAAAAAGTACTAAACATTCAATAAATTTTAGTAATTATATAGACAATCTGAGAACTTTAATAATAAAACTTTTATGATGTAAGTTTTACTTCTTATTTTTTTTCTAGGAAGCAATTCAAGAGGATCATTTTAACAAGATGTCACCAGAATAAATAGGTTAGGCACATAAGAAGACAGAATGTGATTTCACTTATACTTCTTTACATCTCACTGTCAACCTCTCAGACTCGAACTGCTGCTTTGCATTATGGAGCAAAAATATGAAGAGGTTAAAATAATTAATGTAAATAAGATGGTGGACAAATGCATTACTTCTCAGGAATAAAATGTTTGTGTTTTAATGGAAGCCTTCAGGAAAGTCAGTGCCTTAATTCAAAGTCAGAGAATTTTAATGGCAGTGACAGACATATGGGAGTGGTATTTTGGATAGAGGTGTTTTGGATATGTCATTTTATTGTTCCCAAGCAATAAAAGGATGTACAAGCTGTACAAGGATGATGCAAACTACTCATTGCCTGTTACTTGCAATGCTTCCCTGTCACCCAACAGTAATCCTGGGTCACATGAGTTGTCTTTGGCAGTGAAATGAGAGCAGGTGTGATATACACCTGTCCAGGCTGAAGCTTTAAAGGTTATCATGTGACTTGGAGCTGATGCTTACTCTTTGTTCTCTTTTATGAGGATGGCATCTTCTAGCTCAGAGCTGCTTTTCAGCCTGGATCCTAGAGTGAGAAGACACCTAACAGCACTGCTGCCACCAACATGAGACATCAGCAGGAAACGTCCTTGAGCAAGATGCTAAGATGGGGCGGTGGGTATTATGACAGCAAAACTGACCAATACAATATACTTTTGCCTGCCCCCAAAATTACAGCCCATACTCAACACACAAAGAGGACTGATAGATCAAAAGTTCCCAAGTTGGACGATTTTCAGAAATTCAGCTGCTCGTGCATGCCATAAAGCACAGCACGGCTGCACACAGGCACGCGATGCATGGTTGGCTACACCATAAAACAAACCTGCAAGAATGGGACAGATGCTGGGGACCCGGTAGTAAGAGGAGAAAGTTTAGATGTTTAGATAGGAATTCAACTCCAGAGAGTACAGAGTAAGGCAATGTTTAAAAATGGTCACAGTTTGGGTCCCCAGGAGATATACTCTGAAATGTAGTTTTGCTTGCAGGAAGTTTCTTGGGTGTGGTCTCAGGATCAACCCCTGTGGAAGAGGACAGAGAAAAACAGATTGAGCAGAGAAAGAATTTGAAAGGTGGTATGTTGGCTCCTGAAGTCTCAATAAAACCCATGGAAGTCCTAGGTCACAGAAGACCCTTCAGAGGCGTTCCAAATTGAGGAAAGACAGGCCACAACCCTCCAAACCTCATCTACATACTGCACATCGTATAGAAGGTGCCCACCATATGCACACCCTGATCAAATGGAGTCAGTGAGCTCTTGTGAATATCACAGAGAGTAGGAGTGAGTGGTAGCATATGCATGTGTGCAGACACAACACACTTGCAATTGTTTGTTTCCATAGAAAATATCGTGTATGCATCTTAAATATTAAGTATAAAGATACCACAATATCTGTCATCACCTTGAACTAATAATAGTGCAACTCACACCTGCAATCCCAGCACTTTGGGAGGCCAAGGCGGGCAGATCACCTGAGGTCAGGAGTTCGAGACCAGCCTGGCCAACATGGTGAAACCCTGTCTCTACTAACAAAAAGTACAAAAATTAGCTGGGTGTGGTGGCGGGGGTCTGTAGTCCCAGCTACTCAGGAGGCTGAGGCAGGAGAATTGCTTGAACCCAGGAGGCGGAAGTTGCAGTGAGCTGAGATCGTGCCACTGCACTCTAGCCTGGGCGACAAGAGCAAGACTCTGTCTCAAAATAATAATAATGATAATAACAGTGCAACTGTGTCTCTTGGTGAGACCACTATAAACTGAAATAATAATAAATACCAGAGGGCTGATAGCTTCTATGTTTTGGTGGCAGGGGTTGGTGACATTTGTTGTTTTGATATCTGGCAGAGTCCCTTTTTCTTCTGAGGAAGGATCCAGCTGCACCTTTTCAATAAAAAGGGTTCAACCTACATGTGACCTTCAGGGACAGACTAATCAATCACAAGAAAGTCTTAGAAGGGTAAAAAGAGGACAGGAAATGAAGCTGTAATTCATGGGCTTTTAGAAGTAAATAGAAATTGAAACAAATTTTTGGCCTTAACTCTTTACTTCCCAAAAGATCTAGAACACAAATTCAAATGGGAAGGGACATTTCTGCCTGTGCTTTCCCCTGTCCTCAGATTTTCCTACAGCTGAACTTCTGTAACAGCCCTGCGTGAGGAGGCGAAGGGTCAGGGCAGATGAGTACTCTGGAGAACATGCAGACGGGATCAAATAAATTTGCAGAACTTCCACTTCCCCATGAATCTTTATTGAATGTAATCTATTCAGCTTAGAGAGCTTAAAGAAAAAAAGTAACCCACATTTTTTGTGGTGCTTTTTAGACAATTTGAAAACAACTTATTTCTCACTCTCAGAGGATATGCCCAAAGTCATGCACAGCCAAGAAACAACTTCCTCCCGGTTAACTCGTGGGAGAATACAGAAATTCAGGCAGAAAGTAAATTTATTTTGAAATTAATAAATATAGGGACACAACTTAACAAAATCTCTGGGATGCAACAGAAGCAGTGTTAAGAGGAAAGTTTATAACCTTCAACACCTTCGGTAAGAAGTTAGAAAGGTCTCAAATTAACCATCTGACTTTGCGCCAAAAGGAACTAGAAAAAAACAAGAACAAACCAATCCCAAAGCTGGCAGAAGAAAAAAAAAACTAAAATTAGAGAATAACTTAATGAATTAGAGATGTGAAAATTCATACAAAAGATCAATGAAAACCAGTTTGTTTTTCAAAAAAATAAATACGATTGATAGACCTCTAGCTAGAATGATGAAGAAAAAGAGAAGATCCAAATAATCACAATCAGAAACAACAAAGATGATATTATTACAATGAACCCCACAGAAATACAAAACATCCTCAGAGACTGCTATGAACAACTCTAAGCACACAAATTAAAAAATCAAGAGGAAATAGATAAATTCCTGAAAGCACAAAATCACGCAAGATTGAATGAGGAAGTCATTGAAATCCTGAATAGACCAATATCAAATTCTGAAATTGAATTAGTAATAAAGAACCTACCAACCATTAAAGCACTGGACCAGAAGGATTCATAGCCAAATTCTACCAGATGTACAAAGAAAACTTGATACCCATCCTACTGAAACCATTCCAAAAACCTGAGGAGGAGAGGCTCCTCCCTAACTCCTTCTATGAAGCCAGCATCAGCCTGATACCAAAATCTGACAGACACACAATGGAAAAAAGAAAAAATAAAAACTTCAGACCAGTATCCCTCATGAACATAGACACAAAAATCCTCAACAAAATATGAGCAAAGCAAGTCCAGCTATTCCTGGGATGCAAGGCTAGTTCAATATAGGCAAATCAATAAATGTGATTCACCACATGAACAGAATGAGAAGCAAAAACCATATGATAAATTCAATAGATGTAGAAAAAGCTTTTGATAAAATCCAACATGACTTCATAAAAACTGTCAATAGACTAGGCATCAAAGGAACATGCCTCAAAATAATGAGCCATCTATGACAAACCGACAGCCAACATCATATTGAATGGGCAAGTATTCAAACCATTCCCCTTGAGAACTGGAATAAGACAGGGATGCTCATCTCATCGCTCCTATTCAAGATAGTACTGAAAGTCCTAGCTGGAGCAATCAGGCAAGAGAAAAACATAAAGCGCATCCAACTAGGAAAAAAGAAGTCAAACTGTCTCTCTTCACCGACAGTGTGATTCTATATCTAGAAAATCCTAAAGACTCTGCCAAAGGCTCCTAGAATTGATAAATGACTTTAGTAAAGTTTTAGGATACAAAATCAATATACAAAACTCAGTAGCATTTCTATACAGCAACAATGTCCAGGCTGAGAGTGAAATCAAGATTATAATCCCACTTAAAATGCCACAATAAAAATGAAATACCTAGGAAACCAGCTTATGAACAACAGAAAAATCTCTGTCTTTGTTGTGTCACAAATGACTCCCATGACTGAGATGAAACTTTTACAGCTCATGAGTCCTCTTTGGCATTTCAGTATTACCATCAGTTTTTACTTCCTCCTGGCTGCAATAGGAAAACAGGAAGAAAATCATTTATCCTAAGGAGCTAGTGCTTCTATTATCTTTCAGTGAAATTCTTAGTTTCTTTCTCCCAAGCCATTTTCTAAGAGGGCCTTGAAGTGTCATAACCTGTAGGAAATAAAAACTCTGAAATATTAATAATTTAAGAACAAGGTATTATATTTAATCTTTCTACTGCTTCTACATCTAAAAGAGATATAAATTAACCAAGAGCAAATCTCATTGATTTAGATAAACTAGTTAATATTGTATGAGTTCCGTAAGACTTCAAAAGCTGTGAGGTTTCAGTACTTCCAGCTTTATTCCAACATTAAGTGAAGAACAGCTAGCAAAATGTTGCCAATGAGCAAAACTTAATAAGCTTGGGGAAAATGATTTTTAATTAAGATATTAATTAATTCTATGTAAATAGATTTTCTACAGTAATTGAGAACCGTTTCCTCTCCAAAGCAGGTATAAGTTGTCTTATTTATAGTTTCAATTTGTTCAGAAAGTTTTTTTCTGATTAAAAAGTTGACTCCGTTTTTGATCTAGCCTCTATCCAAATTGCCACACAATTTTATAGTAAAATCTAATTTAATGAGGCTTTATTATGCTAATAAGAGGAAATACCTTAAAGGATTAGATCTCTTCTTGTGTTTTTAGTGATGTGACTCATACTAAAACTTGGACATTTTGAGGCTAATGAAAGACTTATGAGTCAATATTCTGAGGCTTTGGAATAGGTAGGATAATTGGAATCTAAATAGAACAAGAAAATAATAGGGTTAAGAGGACTCTTTAAATCACCCAATCATCATGCCAATTCCTCCTCCAACCTCTCATAGGAATGTATTTTACAGGTATGAAATCTTAGGCACAGAGGTGTGAATTCACAAATTACACAGTTTATTAGTTAGGAGTTGGCTGAATATAAGAAGAAAAACAATTAACAGTGGCGTCCACATATAAGAACATATTTCGTTTCGCAGAAAATAAATCCAAGGTGGGAAGCCCAGGACTGGCACAGCAGCCCCATGTTCCCATTTGCTTGGTTTCCCCCGTGAATCCAAGGAAGGAGCTGCAGTATTTCATCCACATGCCAGGTGGCAAGGAGCAGGGAGATGGAAGTGCAGAAGGGGAGCCCTCAACCTCTCTGTCCCTTGTTGAAGAAGCAGAAGACGTGCCTTCAGACTCCCTGTCCCTTGTTGAAGAAGCCTTTCTCAAATTCCCGGCTAAGAGTGTCTCACTGGCCACAGCAGTCATATGACCATTTATAGTTCAACTTACAATGAAAAATGTTATATTTTAGCTCAATGCAGTTGGTGCCCTAAACACACACACACACACACACACACACACACACACACACGCACATACCACAAAACAAACAAACCAAAACTAAGAGTAACCCAAAAGCAAGACTTTTGTCAATTAAAAAAGATGAAAAATGTGATATTAGGCAGATAATTACTTTTTCTACCATAGAACCAGTTAATGTAACAAAAACTCAGGGTTCTTAAATTACAGTTCTTTTTGTGACAACAGAGACATTGAGAATCCTGGAATATAAAAATCCTCATTGGATATATTTGGAATAAAGCAGCGAGGATTTAAAGATGAAGTGTCTTCTCTTTCAGCTATTCTACTGGAGAGCATCATGTGTTTAATAGAAGACGATCTGCTTCAAACTCCAGGTCTCCAACCCAGTAGTGTGATCGGGGCCATGTTGTCATTTATTCTTTGTGATGGTAAAAGTTGGTAGCTGTAAAATATAGATACCAATGATTAAAGGAGTCTGTAGCTTTCCCCTACTGCAAATAAATATGCACTGTAAATAAAAACAATGCACTTCCTCAGTAAACCTGGCTTCAGAAAAAAACTCTATTTCTCCTTTCCAAGAAGATTGACCCCTGAGACTTCCCTTATAAAGATGCTCTAAAGTTGCCACTGGAAAGGTCCCTTAGGTATTATTTGTGTAGGCTCCTGGCAACTTCTTTTACAGAGTCCACACACACACACACACACACACACACACACACACACACACACTCAACTCCTCCCCAGGAACAAAGAGATTTAGATGTTGGAAATTGAGGCCTGGTTGCCTCCTGAGAGTAGAAGAGGGAGGAGATAGGGGAGAAGTTACTGTTGGTACATTTCTGGAATGTTAATAGCAGTACGAAACAAGACAAAGTGTAATTACCTATCTAGCAAACATGCCAAGTCAAATAATTAATAAGACGCCTTGTAATTATTGCATAACCAAATTTCAATAGCTTTGTTAGTCAGGTCATTCTCTCCCAGAGAGAAAGGAAGTTACTAGAAGAGGCAAGAAAACTGACAATATCAAGAGGTGACAATGGAAACGTGAGTAAAAGGCAGACCCAAAGGAAGCAGATCCTGTCCAAAACCACGTAGGTGAGTTAGAAGACGATCCCTCCTTATTGAACTATCAAAGGAGACCCCAGGCCTGGCTGACACCTTGGTGGTGGCCTGTGAGAGACTCTGACATGGGGGACCAGCTAAGCCACATTAGAGTTCTGACCTACAGAAACTGTAAAATGAATTTGTATTGTTTTGAGCCTGTAAGTTTGTGGTAATTTGTTACATAAAAATGGGTAACTAATACATGTATACCATCTTTTAGAAAGACTTGGAACCAACCCACATGCCCATCAATGATAGACTGGATAAAGAAAATGTAGCACATATACACCATGGAATACTATGCAGTCATAAAAAAGGAGGAGTTCATGTCCTTTGCAGGGACATGGATGAAGCTGGAAACCATCATTCTCAGCAAACTAGCACAAGAACAGAAAGCGAGACACTGCATGTTCTCACTCATAAGTGGGAGTTGAACAATGAGAACACATGGACACAGGGAGAGGAATATCACACACCAGGGCCTGTCGGGAGTGGGAGGTTAGGGGAGGGACAGCATTAGGAGAAATACCTAATGTAGATGATGGGTTGATGGGTGCAGCAAACCACCATGGCACGTGTATACCTAAGTAACAAACCTGCACGTTCTGCACGCACGTGTATCCCAGAATTTAAAGTATAATAAAAATAAATAAATTAATTTTAAAAAAGGAAAGAGACTCCCCGCAAAATAATAAAAAGGTAAAGAGAATATACATTAGATGTAAAATTAACATCACCAGTAATAAAGAAAATAGAATTTATAATGTCATTAAGATACAAAAATATTTTACAATTTGCCAAGAAACACATAATAAATTACATAGCTAGTTTTGGAGAGGACTTGAGGAAATGGAACTGCTAGTTTGAATGTAAATCACTACAATCTTTCTGGAAAGTAATTTTGCAATATGTATTAAAAGACTTAAAAATGTACTTTATCTTCAAGACAGCAATCTCACTTGTAAGAATTTCATTTAAGGAAATATTCGGATTATGTATAGAGATGTACCAAGGTGGTTCTCAGTAATTGCTTATTATTGTACAATTTAAAACAATTTAAAATTAAAAACAATAAATATTTTACACTATGTTATTGACTAAATAAGTTAGAATAGCTCCAAAGACAAAATTCTATGTATTCTTCAAAATGTTTAAGGTAGAAAAATATTGGACGACATACAAAAGTAATTATGGCTTATTAAATCACAATGTTATAAAACAGAATGCACATTAAGTCTATGTAAATCATATGCACATGCGTGCATATAAGTAGCCTGAATAGAAAAAAAAAAGCTAAAACAATTTACGATAGGATGGTTAAGGCTGTTGTCTCGATTGCTGTAATTATAGTATTATAGATAATTTTTATTTTCACAATTGGTCTTTTTTGAACATTTCATTTTCAAAATAAGATCATTCTCGTAATTAGAAAAAATAATTTATTATTGTCAATGATATCGCTCATTTCTTCATGATGCCAGGCAGATAGTATGTTACTGTATATTCATTTTTAAAAAATGTATTAGAAACAAGACCCAGACAAACGTTAAATCAAGAAAATGCTGATGATATATTGTCTCTGGTAAGTGATGAAGTGAATCTTCCATTTGCTCTTGATAGTTAATTTACTTCCACTCCTGCATTGCCCAGACAATTCATCTGGGCAATGCCATGGAAACAAAATGATATCCCAACAATGCTGGCTGTAGGTGAGAACTGCTGGGCTGCTAAGTATAAAGGGCATAAAGTAATCAAAAACCATCCCCTTCTGAAATATTGAGCACACAGAGTGTTCTTATAAACTTCTAAGAGAAGAAAATCTCTACAAAATATGGAGGCCATTTACTGCTCTGTGAGAGTTTTCCAGAATAAATTATTCACTGAAGTTTAAATGTGATCCCTGGTTGAAACTAGCAACTCTGAATGCCCATCAACCATGTATATGTCTTGTGCTTTCATGGAGTCTTCCATTATTAAATAACACAGTGTCATTCATACTACTTATTCTTCAGCAAGAAACTTTGTTTCAATATATCAGTCAGGAGTCTAGCAGAGCAGGAACATGATTAATTAATGATCGTTTATACTCACCAATGCCTCCTTGATAGTTGTTGATCTTCTCAGGCTATCTCCACACATGGCAGGAGAAGATCATGATAAGCAGTTCAGTTGTTGCTGGATGACAGTGATGAAAATGGTAACATTTTCTTTATTGCTGCTAAACCATGTATTGGAGAAAGCATTATACTACACTCTGCATGAAAATTACCAGTTGGTATTAGCTATGTATTCAACAGATGACCCAAATGTTTCCAGGCTGAGGGATAACATCCTATCTGGTAAGAATCAAAGCAATCATAGGCTCACCTGTAAAATACATACATATGTATGCGAGAGAATATTAAAGAAAGACATGAAGGAATAGTCATAGGCTCACCTGTAAAATACATACATATGTATGCAAGAGAATATTAAAGAAAGACATGAAGGAACAGTGGAGGCTTTTCAAGACTCTAGACACAACCGTGGCCCAATCAAAGCAGCTACTGCCCCACAATGGAACTTTGGTTCTGTGTTATTATTTTTTACTTATTATATTGCGTTATTGCAGGTTTTTGTAAAAGCAATCTCTAGTCTATTGTGTGGCCCGCACGGGGAGGACCTGTGTTTCTCTGAGCTATAACTTGTATTTGTTGGGCACGTACTGCACTTTGCTAGGATTTAGGTATCCTGTTTCTGCAAACATGCTCAGTCCCCACCAATAGGTACAGGTGACATTGGGTTGCCAGCAATTTTTTCTTTGAATGACAACATTTGTCAGAATAACTGCACAGACCCCCGGGGAATAGGACAAAGGGGTGGATCTTGAGACAAAGCAAGGGATGGCGTAAAGTGAAGTTCATCACCCCACGTGTTACGCACCACGCAGATCCACAGCATCACCTGATGGTCTGATAACAAACTGACGTTCAGCTCCTAGATAAGGTGAGCAGAGCGAATGTGCAGGGCTAAGAGGAAGTCCATTGGTGTTCTCCCTCCAGCCCTGTGCTACCATACATCCTTCTTGTAATGCCACCACGATTAAGAGTACAGTTAAAAATCACATTCAGCTATGCAGCTTAACTGCTTACTAACTTTTACCAAATCACCCTGTTAAGGGGTCTAAACACTAACTGCAGGGCCAAGCACATACTAAAAGACTCAAGAGGTGGTATTTGAATGATGTATGGCCATGATTACTAATGTCATTTCTTTTTTTTTTTTGTTGAGACAAAGTCTCACTCTGTCGCCCAGGCTGGAGTGTGGTGGTGAGAACTTGGCTCACTGCAACCTCCACCTCCCAGGTTCAAGCGATTCTCCTGCCTCAGCCTCCTGAGTAGCTGGGACTACAGGCATGTGCCACCGCGCTAATTTTTGTATTTTTAGTAGAGACGAGGTTTCACCATGCTGGTCAGACTGGTCTCAAACTCCTGACCTCGTGATCTGCCCTCCTCGGCCTCCCAAAGTGCTGGGATTACAGGCGGGAGCCACTGCGCCCAGCCTACTAATGTCATTTCTTAACATGCTAAAGAAATGGGCCTTCCGCACATGCTGTGGGGCATTCAAATAAATACTGACCTGTTATTGAGTTATTGACGGTGCAAGAGATAAGACCTAAGAATAGAATCTAGAAATCTGTAGTGGCTATGCTGTCTTTTCATAAACTAAGTCAGTTTTGTCCTGAGTTAGTTTATGAGATTCTGCCACAGTGAATGTAGTAGATGAGTCACCTACTAAAGGTTAGCAGGTGTATTTCCCTGCTATGAGTTTGATGTGTCCTGTGTGTCTCCTGGTTTAGAAGGTATGGCCCAAGGCCGTGAAGTCTGCGTTCACCTGTTCTCTGTCCACCACTTACAATCTTGGGGTTAAACTACAGTTGTCGGTGTTTGAATGAATGATGTCATTTTGGTGAGAATATCTACCTGTACCACGTGAATTACGAGGTGAAATCCAGGCTCACTACCTCTCAACGTATCAGAAGTCAGGAGAGAGTTCAATAGAACCAGGTTTCCTCTCTGAAGTTAGGTGACTATGAATCACTGCTGTTGGAAGCCATTATCCTCAGCAGACTAATGCAGGAACAGAAAACCAAACACTGCATGTTTTCACTTATAAATGGGAGCTGAACAATGAGAACACATGGACACAGGAAGGGGAACATCATACACTGGGGTCTGTTGGGGAGGGCGGATGGCAGGAGGAGAACATCAGGAAAAATCACTAATGCATGCTGGGCTTCATTGACTGATAGGTGCAGCAAACCGCCGAGGCACATGTGCACCTGTGTAGCAAGGTACCTGCACATCCTGCACATGTACCCCAGAACTTAAACTAATTAAGAAAAAGAAGCTTCAGTGGCCATCAGTGCTCTGTCAGGAGAAGAGTGTGTCTCAGGTGTCCCACAGAGCAACAAACTCCCCACCCACCGCGTTCAGGTGGCCTTCTCACGTGTTTGCCTTCTGGAGTTTGCTACTCCCTCAGTCTTACTGCATCTGGCAAGGCAGAGAGTGGGAAATGGACTTCCAGACACATCTAACTTAAGAGTATGGACTTTCCTGACCACTGCTTATGTAACATCATGACCATTGTCTAGCATGGTGACCACACATCATGGTGTGGTGGATAAAAGAGTTCAGGCCCTGGCACCAGAGAGCCTAGCTTCAAATCTGTCTCTGCTGTGTGACATTAAAAAAGTTATGTAAACTCTCTGATCCTTACTTTCCTCATTTATAAATTAGACATAAAATAGCCACCATTTCATGGAGTGATCATAGGAAATGAGTTAATATGCATAATTTGTAACTAGTAATTTGTGTTTGTAACAAGTAACAACATAATTTGTAACAAGTATATTATAGATTCGTAACAATTGTTAGATCTTATTATCCAACCATGTACTCAGGAGTAGTTTGTACAATAAAATACTCCTATGGCATCATTTATCAGGAGTCCTGGTCCAGCGAGCCATTCATCACTTAAGGAACCATTCTTCTCTTTCCAAATAAGGCCTACCTCTGGGATATGTCCCATCCAGCCAGAGTAAGGATAAGCTGGAAAAGGATAAGGAAGTCTGGAATGAAATGTCTCAGGCTTATGATGATGTTTATTCACCTATCTATTTGGAAAGTATTTACTAAGTGCTTTGTCTACCCAGGTACTGGGTTAAGCACAGATGATATAATGGAAATGAAAATAGGCAAGGGCTTAGCTGCCATGAACTGGCCATGTGAACTATCCTGGATCCTTCTGGCAACAAGCCAGAGCACAAATAAATTAAGTCCCTACCAGAAGGAAATTCAATAAAATGTAAATGGCAATTATTTTACTTTAAGGGGAGGGTATTAAAGGTGATTTTAAAGTCCTCTTTTTTACTTCTCTGTCCTTTAGAAATATCTATAAGAATATATTACTTTGAAGAAAGCTTACCTGCATTTTTAAAAACTTTTATAAGAAAGCTATTTGCAACTTTCTGAAAATGGAAGTTCAGACTCAGAAATGCCTAGTCAATAATCTAAGGTCCGTATTTTTTGAAGATTTAAGGAAGGGGTGTCAAGACATAGGAAAAGTCATAAAAGCAGGTGCAGTTGGCAAACAAATGACCTCAGAGGCTGAGCTCCCAGAGTGAGCATAGCTGTCAGGCAAATGGCTGCACTATAACGATCCCTTTCCAGGGCAGTATGAAGAATTGATTGTCCTCCCCCACTGACTGGGGAGGGAAGAAAATGTCGACTGGACTAGAGGCAAAAGAGGAGCTGATTATCAAGCACTTGCAGGGGCCTGCTGTCAGCCCCCGCTGGTGCCGTGTAGGAGGAACCCACAGCAGGCAAGACCTGACCTCTGAATGAATGCCTGGCTCCACGCTGGTGTCCAGAAGTCTTAGCCAAGAAGCTTTAACACAGCACTGGGAGGCAGCCCAGAAACAACGAGAAAGCTTGTTCTCAGTGCCACACCTTTGCTGTGGCTAACTGTAACCTCACACCCTAAGATTAGCATCCTCCTGTGTTACGTCTTGTCAGGTTTCCTGCTACTCTGACCCTCTGCAACTGAGCCGTCCTCTCCTCTCTCACAGCTGGAGATCTGGCCCCAGACCTCAGGTCTGAGGTTGCAGCTTTGCTGTGAGCAAATGGACTTCTCAGGTGCTCTCCACTGGCCACACAGAATTTCTAAAAAGTGCTCCTAGCACTAGAAAGTCAGAGAATTTTCAAAGTCATTTCATTGCCCTTTTGAGTTTTGAGGAGACAGAAAATAGGAAGATCAGTTGGACTGGCAGAATTGTTCCAGACTGTATTATTCTCAAGCAGCCAAACTATGTATATGAATGAGAGCTAGTGCTATGCTTTGAGCCTGCCTCTAAGGTGTGATTGTTTTAAAATCAGTTTTATCAAGGTATATTTACACACCAATAAAAAGCATTCATTTTAAGAGCACAGTTCAATGAGTTTTGACAAATGTATACACCCATGCAACCATCACTACTTTCAATGCAGAATATTTTTATCCCCAAAAATTCCCTCATGTCCCCTTTTAGTCAATTTTCCCAACCCCTAACAATGGGCAAAAATTGGTACACTTTCTGTCACTATAGGTTAGTTTTGCCTCTCTTAGAATTTCAAAGAAACCGAATGATACACTATGTACTCTTTTGTGTCGAGCCCCTTAAGTTCAGTGCAATGTTTTTGCAAATCATCTGTGTTGTTACATGGGTCAGCAGCTTCTTCCTTTCTATTGATGAGTGGTAATTTTCCATTTTTCATTGTATGGATGTAACACAGTCTGGTTCTCCATTCACCTGTCAGTGGATATTTGGTTCTTGCTAGTTTTCTGTTATTATGAATAGAGCACACGTCATTATGTGAGCACATGTTTTTATTTCTCTTGAGTAAGTATCCAGGAGTTGAATTTTTGGGAGAGTTAGTAAATAAACACTTAAATTTATGAGAAACTGTCAAAATGTTTTCCATGATGGATGTACCATCTTATATTTCCACCAGCTGCTGGGGATCTTTGTTTTGTTTGGTTAACATCTTTGCCACTATTTGGTACTGTTAGTCTTTTAAATTCTGACCATTTTCGTAGTTTTAATTTTGATTTTTCTGATATCTAACAACGTTGAGCATTTCCTGATGTCCTTACTGTCTAAATATGGATATACATTCCTTTGCAAAGTGTTAGCATACATCTTTTAACCATTTTGAATAGAGTTGTTTGCTTATTATTATTGAGTTTTAAGAGTTTTCTGTATTTATATATTGCGATAGTTTCTCCCAGGTCATAGTTATCCCTTTCATATAAAGATGTTCTTCAAGAATCAGAAGAATCTAATTTTAATGAAATACAATTTATCAACTTTCTTATCCGTGCAGTTCGTGCTTTTCATTTTGCCCCACATAAATAAAAGCTCCCACTTAAACATCACGAAGAATTCCATCAATATTTTCTTCTTTAAATTTTGCACTTTTGTTTTCTAGATGAGATTTATTCTTTTCTACTTGGATATCCAGTTGTTCCAGCATCATGTGTTGAAAAGTCTCTTTTTTAATGCATTTCATTGCCTTGGCAGCTTCTTTGAAATTCACTTGCCATGTAGGTTTGGTTATTTTCTGTCTTTCTATTTTCTTCCATGGATCAATCCTTACAACAACCACACTATGTTGATTTCTGAAGCTTTATTACAGTAATCAGTAGTCTTCAAATCAGTCATTATAACTACAATCTTCCTCCTCCTTTTCAAGGTTGTTTTAATTATTTAGGATTCTTTGCATTTTGGCATAAATTTAAAAGCAGGTTATCAAATTTATAAAATAGTCAAATAGAATTTAGATCAGGATCGCATTGAATCATATATCAATTTTGTGGATAATTACTATCTAAATATACAGAAACTTCCAATTCAGTAACAATTTATTCTTAAATTTTTCTTTACAATCTTACGCAGTTTTCGTTGTATAGGTCATGCACTTATTTTGTTAAGTACATTTCTAAGCATTTCATTTTTATGCTAATGTAAATGGAATTATTTTCTTAATTTCAGTTGCTCAGTGCATCATTATGAGGAGGTATCAATATGTCTTACTACTGATGATGTTAAATTTGATTCCTTGGTTAATGTGTTTTATTTCCAGATTTCTCCACAGTAAAGTTATGATTTTTCCTGTTTTTTATTTTATTTTTTTGAGACGGAGTCTCGCTCTGTCGCCCAGGCTGGAGTGCAGTGGCGGGATCTCGGCTCACTGCAAGCTCCACCTCCCAGGCTCACGCCATTCTCCTGCCTCAGCCTCCCGAGTAGCTGGGACTACAAGCACCGCTACCACGCCCGGCTAATTTTTTTTTGTATTTTTAGTAGAGACGGGGTTTCACCATGTTAGCCAGGATGGTCTCGATCTCCTGACCTCGTGATCCGCCCGCCTCGGCCTCCCAAAGTGCTGGGATTACAGGCGTGAGCCACCACACCCTGCCTTTTCCTGTTTTAATTAACAACTATCTTGAGGGAAAATGCTTTAACTCTATGTAAATATACAGTATGTCTTCATATGTTTGTCCACTAATTTCAGTCCACCAATAGTTTGTCCACTATTCATCATTCTTGCCTGTAATAATTTTTACTATAGTGTTTGCTTAATGTTTTTCTTTCATTTTCCATCATTCCTTCTATGTGTATTAATTAGAATTATAATACAAGGAAAAGCTGGTCTTTCCCCTGTGTTTCTTTATGCTAATATGGCATCATAGGTGTTTATTTTATTATATAGTGTATTATCCATTTCTATCATTAATTACTTTTTTGTTCAAATTGTTTCAGATTGGGTCACTGTGATACATTAAGTTCATTCTCTAATAAATTCTTCAAGAAGAGCTTGTGGATACAAAATTCCCTTGCTTCTTACATGTTGAAAACTGTTTTCTGATAGTCTTGATGCTTTTTTTTAAAATGCTGCTTCATTTTTATCTTCCTCTGTATGTTTCCTTTTGAAAATTGGATGGCAGTCTAGTTCTTTTATCTTTGTAAATTATTTGATCTTTTGCTGGAGGCCCTGAAAATTTTTTCTTCATCTTTGAAATCTAAAAGTTTTACTAGGATATGTCTCAGAATTGGTTATTCTGAATTAATGTTGCCAGGCACCTGATAAGTCCTTTTAAAGTATAGTACTCTTGAGTAATCTTTTTTTTTTCTAGAACGTTTCCTAGGGTTATAGTTTTTTTTTTTTATTATACTTTAAGTTTTAGGGTACATGTGCACATTGTGCAGGTTAGTTACATATGTATACATGTGCCGTGCTGGTGCGCTGCACCCACTAACTCGTCATCTAGCATTAGGTATATCTCCCAATGCTATCCCTCCCCCCTCCCCCGACCCCACCACAGTCCCCAGAGTGTGATATTCCCCTTCCTGTGTCCATGTGATCTCTTTGTTCAATTCCCACCTATGAGTGAGAATATGCGGTGTTTGGTTTTTTGTTCTTGTGATAGTTTACTGAGAATGATGGTTTCCAATTTCATCCATGTCCCTACAAAGGACATGAACTCACCATTTTTTATGGCTGCATAGTATTCCATGGTGTATATGTGCCACATTTTCTTAATCCAGTCTATCATTGTTGGACATTTGGGTTGGTTCCAAGTCTTTGCTATTGTGAATAATGCCACAATAAACTGGCACAAGACAGGGATGCCCTCTCTCACCGCTCCTATTCAACATAGTGTTGGAAGTTCTGGCCAGGGCAATCAGGCAGGAGAAGGAAATAAAGGGTATTCAATTAGGAAAAGAGGAAGTCAAATTGTCCCTGTTTGCAGACGACATGATTGTTTATCTAGAAAACCCCATTGTCTCAGCCCAAAATCTCCTTAAGCTGATAAGCAACTTCAGCAAAGTCTCAGTGTTATAGTTTTAAAAAATAGTCTTATTCTCTTTTTTTCTGGGGGACCCCCAAAATATAAATGTTATTCCTATTTTCCTATCTTCCATTTCCACTACTTTTTCTCTGATTCTTTTATTTTTTACCTCATTAAAAAAATTATTTTGATTATTTTCTAATCTTTCTTCAATGACTCTTACCAAATTTTCTTTTGAGTCTAAATGGTGTAATTTATTACTAAAATTTGAGGTAATTTTGTCATTTTCTTTTATTTCTTTTCTAAATTCAATAAACTCTATTTGTTTCTTCCTGAAATTTTTTCTGGTGTTCATTTCTATTCTTACTTTTTGAATTTTTTTAATTTTATTTTTAACTGTCAAATAATAATTATATACATTTGTAGAGTACAATGTGATGTTTTGATTTATGTATAAATTTGAAATGATTAAATAAAGCTTACTAACATAACCATCATCTCACATTCTTATCATTTTTTTCTGGTGCAAACATTTAAATTGATCTACTCTCTTAGTAATTTTAAAATATACTTTGCATTATTATTAACTATAGTCACCATATAATATAATAGATCTCTTGAACTTATTCTACTTATCTAACTGAAATTTTATATGTTTTGAACACCATTTTTTGAACCACCACCACCCCTGGTCCTTGGTAATTACCGTTCTGCTCTCTGCTTCTATGAGTTTGACTTTGGTAGATTCCACATAAATGTGAGATCAGCCAGTGTTTTTCTTTCTGTGCCTGGCTTATTTTATTAATATAATGTCATACAGATTCATTCATATCAGAAATTACAGAATTTCCTTCTTTTTTAAGGCTAAATAGTACTTCATTGTACTCTTATATATGGTACTGTATACACACCACATTTTCTTTATCCATTTATCCATTGATGGACACTTAGGTTTTGGCTATTGTGAATAGTGTTGCAATGAACATAAGAGTGCAGGTATCTCTTTGGCATGCTGATTTCAATTCCTTTGAATATATACCCAGAGGTGGGATTTCTAGATCATATGGTCGTTCTATTTTTAGTTTTTTGAGGAACTTCCATACTGTTTTTCGTAGTAGTTGTACTAATTTACATTCCCACCAACAGTTTGCAAGGGTTCTCTTTCCTCCACATCCTAACATTTGCTATTTTTGGTCTTTTTGATAACAGTTAATCTAACAATTGTGAGGTGAAATCTCATTGTAGTTTTAATTTGCATAATCCTGGTGATTAGTGATGTTGAGTATTTTTTCATATTCCTCTTGGTCATTTCCATGTTTCCATTTGAGAAATGTCTTTTCAGGTCCTTTGCTCATTTTTAATCAGCTTGTGTTCTTGCTATTCAGATGTTTGAGTTCCTTATATATTTTGTATACTAACTTATGAGATGTATGGTTTGCAAATACATTTTCCCAATCCATAGGTTGTCTTTTCATGCTGCTGTTTATTTCCTTCGCTATTCAGAAGCTTTTTAGTAAGATGCAATCCCATTTGTCTATTTTAGCTTTTGTTGCCTTTGCCTTTGGGGTCATATAAAAAAATTGTTGCTCAGTCCAATGCCATGGAGCTTTTCCTCTATGTTTTCTTCTTGTAGCTTTACAGATTCAGGTCCTACATTTGAGTCTTTATTCCATTTTGAGTTGATTTTTGTATGTGATGTGGGATAATGGTCCAATTTTATTCTTTGGCATGTGAATATCCAGTTTTCTTAGCACCATTTATGAAGAAATTGTCTTTTCCAAATTGTGTATTCTTAGGATCTTTGTCAAAAATCAATTGACCATAAATGTTTGATTTATTTCTGGGCTCTCTATTCTATTTTATTGGCCTATTTGTCTGTTTTTATGTGTTTTTTTTTTTAATGCAGTGACATGCTGTTTTAATTACCATCGCTTTGTAGTATATTTTGAAGTCAGGTTGTGTGACGCCTCCAGCTATGCTCTTTTTGCTCAAAACTGCTTCAGATATTCAGGGTCTTTTGTGATTCCATGTGAATTTTAGAATTGTTTCTTCTATTTCTGTGAAAAATGACATTGGGATTTTGATAGAAAGTACAATGAATCTGTAGATGACTTTATGTAGCATGTTAGTCAATTTTGCATTGCTATAAAGGAATAACTGAGGCTGGGTAGCATATAAAGGAAAGAAATTTATTTTGGCTCACAATTCTGCAGGCTGTGTAAGAAGCATACTGCCAGCATCTGCTTCTGGTGAGGGCCTCAGGAAACTTCCAATCATGGCAGAAAGTGAAAGGAGAGCAGGCATGTCACATGGCAAGAGAGGGGGCAAGAGAGAGAGAAGGAGGGCCAGGCTCTTTTAAACAACCAGATCTCACATGAATTCATGATCACCAAGCCATTCAGGAGGGATCAGCCCCCCTGACCCAAACACCTCCCAAATAGGCCTCACTTCCAACACTGAGGGTCACGTTTCAACATGAGATTTGGAGGAGACAAATATCCAAATCATATCAGGTAGTATGGACATTCTCACAACATTAATTTTTCCAATCCATGAACATAGGGTAGCTTTTCATTTATTTGTGTCTTCAATTTCTTTCATTAATGTTTTACAGTTTTCAGCGTACAAGTCTTTCAACTCCTTGGTTAAATTTATTTTTGAATAATTTACTCCTTTTGACACTATTGTAAATGAGATCATTTTCTTAATTTCAATTTTCAGTAGTTTGTTGTTAGTGTTTAGAAATGCTACTGAATTGAATTTCTTATTAAAAGCTCTTTTTCATATCCTAAATACTTGCCTAAATACATTTAATTTCACTTGGAGAGCTAATTTATAGTTTTATTTTGTTTCATGACTATTTATCAAGAGTGTGGGGATTTTCCTCAAATGATAAATGCTGAATTTAATCTTAGCGTTTTCTTAGAATTATTCTGTTAAACTTTGATTTTTCATAGTTAAAGGATTGGAGGGACTAAACATTGCCCATTTCTTTAATAGAGCAAAGTTCAGATCCTTCAGTAAATTTTATTTTAGCATGAGTATGTAGGGGGTGAAAAAGATTGTGTTTCCTTTGATTTTGTGCTTTTCTTTTGTCTTAATAGGACCTTCAAATTTTCCGCTTTCCTCTCTTCCCTTTCTCCACCAAATTACCAAATGTCATGTCTCTCCCCGAAGCTATGCATTTTGAGGACTGCCCCTTCAATTCACACATACATTTAAATACCTTGTGGGTAATTCAAACACTTTTTAGTATTTTTAGATTAAGAATAGATTAAGTGTTTCTGGTAATGATTTTAGATCAAACTTAGATCCAGGAATATCCCCTTTCTTTCCTCTTCCCTGCCTTTTTTTATTGGTATTTTTTGTTTCTAAAAAAAGCCTTGAGGCAGGGTCAGGGGGCAGATCAGAGGAGGATATGAGAGGTTGAATACTGAAATTTGGTGTCCCACCCTTATTTATCCTTATATTGAATTTTGGTTATTTTCTGTCTTCAAATTATTCTGAGGGTGTGGTTTTGTTTACTTTTCCTTTCTTGTTGTTCTCCACATTTTCCAGAGAAAAACTGGGGGAAGGGGTCCTGGAGTGTGGCCATCGTCTTCAACTGTCCAGGCATCATTCATTATCTTCTTAATTCTACTTACTTTTGCTTAAGTTTATTGTCTTTATTTTTTGCCTTCCACAGTTGAAATATTCAATCATTTATTTTTAGATTTTTCTATTTATAAGTTACACATTTCCTTCTACACATTGTGTTACCTGCATCCCTGTAATTTCTGTATGTTGTATTTTTCATTTAATGCAAACTATTCTCTGCGTTATCTTGTGCATTTTTTTCTCCTAGAGGCTATTTAGAAGTATCTTGTTTAATTTCCAGATAATAGATGGATTTGCCAAATATACTCTTGTTATTCTATTTTAACTCCATTTGATTCAGATAATATGTTTTTATATGATTTGATTCATTTACACATTATTGAAGTACATTTTATGTCCTGGAATAGGGTCTATTTTGAATACTTCATGTACCTTTGGAATTACATGTATTTTGTCATTGTTAGGCAGAGTGTACCATAAATATCAACTAAATCAGATTGGAAGGTAGTGCAGCTCATGTGTTCTATATTCTTACTGATTTCCTCTCTACTTGTTCTACCAATGGCTAAGAAACAAGTGTTAGCATTCCCAAGTACAGCTGTAGATATGTTATTTCTGTTTTCAGGGCATTCAGCCTTTGCTTTGTGTACTTTGAAGCTCTGTTATATGCATATACCTTTAGGATGGCTATATCCTCTTAATGGGTTTACCCCTATATCATTAGGCTGTGTTCTTCTTTACCCACAATAATGTCCTTTGTTCTGAGGTTTACTTTGTGTGATATAATTAGTAACACTTCAGCCTTCTTATAATTACTCTTTGCATAGTATTTTGCCCATCTTTTCTCATTTTCGCTTCTGTCTTATCTCTATATACTTATATACTGTGCCTTGTAGATGATACATAATTGGTTTTACTTCTTTATGAATCTAAGTTCTCTGCCTCTGCCTTTTAAATAGAGTGTTTAGGCCATCTAACTGCAATGCAAATAATGTTGGATTTAAATCTACCACCTTCTATTTGCTCACTGTCCATATATTTCTCTTTTTCTTGTCTAATTTTGGATTAAGTATATTTTATAAGTCTATTTTATTACCACTGTAGGCCTATTAACTATACCTCTTTTTTAGCAATTGTTCTACAGTTTATAATATGCACCTTTTAGTTACCAAAGTCTACCTTCAGATACTAATATACCATTTGACATTTAATGTAAATACCATATAACAGTATGCTTTAAATTTTTACCACTTATCTTTTGTGCTGTCTTTGTATGCATTTTACTTCAGGATAAATCACACAGAACATTATTATCATTGTCCTTTAAACACAGTTATCATTTAAAAACTTTTTACGATAAGAAAAGGGCTTTTACATTTTTTACACTTACTAGCATATGGCTGTATCTGGTGCTCTTCATTTCTTTATCAACCCACCTTCCCGTCTAGGATCAGTTTCCTTCCATCTAAATAATTTCCTTTAACATTTTTATTCTGCAGTCTGATCTACTATGTCTGAATCACAATGATTAAGCTGGAGGCTGGAGTGCTCCCCAAATTGGGAATTAATCAGCCCTTAGAATAAAGACTACCTGGTTAGAACTCATTGAACCTTTTTGATGACCTTTCCCTGAAATTCCATGTTGTATTCTGTAGCACAAGGCCCAGGTTCCACCCATCCCCTTTAGGACAGAAGAAGTAATTTATCCAGATCTGGAAATGTGGTTGCTGATAGCTCTTAGTTGAATCTCTCTCTAAGGGGACAGATCTGGGGACAGTCCACATCCAATGACACCTGTCATTGGATATCTATCCTTACTTCTGGACAATTCCAGAGAGCAATCTCTGCTCCAGAGCTCTCCAGAGAATCTGCTGAGGCTGTTTTGTAACAGGAATATAGTTCAACTTCTTCCTGTACCAGCCCTACCTCCGTCACTCCCTCATGGGTGTTTATCTCAAGGGTATAACCCCCAAGATTACCTGTATAAACATCGCCCTCTTACAGTCTGTTTCGCAAATATAGTTACCATGTGACATTTAATGCCAGGATTGGTCTGATGAAACAGATTCTAAAATGGAATTTTGGAGCTGGGTCACCTGTCAGTGGGCTGCCAACAAGCACCTCATCATTGCTGATAGGTAGAGACCAGGGAGTCCTTCTTCTGCAGTAGCAACACAATTGCAAAAACTTCCATCAGTGGTGAAATGGGGTGAAATGGCAAAGGAGGAAATGCACTGGCTGGTGTAATATGCCATTTTTCAGTTGTTGGAGAGGTAATGGAGAAAATAATAACCATAAGGGTCATGAAATTAGATGATTGACACCTAAGAGAAAAACAATAAAAGGCTGAGGTTATTCATCATCAATTAAAGGCACAATATGAAAAGCAAAGGACTTCTTTGGCATGTATATAAAAAGGTTCTTGTCTTCTACAGCCAAAGGGCAGAAGATAAAAAATTAAAAAAAAAAAATCTGTATATCAGGCCCAGAAATTATTTCTAAGATAAGCAGAGCTTTAGAGAAGAATAAATTCTCTCTTCTTTTTTTCTTTCTTGATACGGAGTCTCGCTCTTGTCACCCAGGCTGGAGTGCAGTGGTGCAATCTCGGGTCACTGCAACCTCCACCTCCCGGGTTCAAGCGATTCTCCTGCCTCAGCCTCCTGAGTAGCTGGGATTACAGGCATGCACCACCATGCCTGGCTAATTCTTTTGTACTTTTAGTAGAGACGGGGTTTGGCCATGTTGGCCAGGCTGGTCTCAAACTCCTGACCTCAGGTGATCCGCCTGCCTCGGCCTCCCAAAGTGCTGGGATTACAGGTGTGAACCAACGCGCCCAGCAGAGAAGAATGAATTCTTAATCGCAGCAGCAATGCTCGGCCAAGATCAAAGCTGTGATTGAGAAGAGTAGGACCCTGAGACTGGGGATAGGGGAGTCTGGAAGTACACAGTAGGAAATCGTGACCCTAAAGCCTCTGGGTCTGTAGAAGGAGCCAAACCCTTCTAGTTAAGGCTGGTGTTCTTGACTTGCTTAAGGTGCTGCAGAGGATTTGCCTTGCAAAATGACCCATGCTCTGCCTGTTACCTCCACCTCTATTCCTGGCTTACGTGCACTCCCCATCCTGGCCACTAGACCAAAAACAAGGGATGGGGCAAAACCAAACCTGGCTGGAAAAGTTCTGGGTATTCTAAGGGACAGTCCCCTGAACGAGCGGTAGCAATTAGTCAGTAGGGATTGCAAAGCACTGTGAAAGTATTATAAAACAGGAACCCGAGGGTGCTGGGCCAAGGGATCTGGAATATGGAGTTAGACAATGAGAGTTTATTTATATGGGAGCATTTAGCTGTGACCAGCGATTTAGCATCTTTGTGGCTAAAGAGTGGATGCTTACATGCTGGTAAGACAGCTCTTAGACCCTTAGAGAGGTAATCGCCTCCACTGAGTATCAATGCCAGAACTTCCACATCAGATGGAAGAAGAGATCAAAGACTCAGAGAAGCTATTTTAGAATGCATAAATGACCACACAAGGCCAACTGATACGGCATAGAATGATAAGAAGGACACCAGCACCAGAAGCTCAGATGTGGTCATCCTCTGTAAGCCAGACCTGAGGGTAGAAGATGCTTTGGGAGAATTATCATTAATGGAGATGATATGATCCTTGTAATCCAAATAATAGAAACAATTTGATAATGCTTAACCATCAGCAGCAAAGTGGAGACAATTATTTAATGAATAGAAAGGTCAGAGTGGCAATCAGGTTTCTGATATCAAAAGAGCTGTGGATGTGGCTAATAGAATACAGAAGCTGTAAGGGCAAGATAGGTGAATAGCCAAGGAGGGTTTATTAATGGTGAAATCAAGAATAAATGATCAGAGCATGAGGGAAGTCACTCTAATAAAAAATCATGATCCATGGCCCACTTTCTAGACCTGAGTACTTTTCATACCTACAGCCCATTGACTGAAGAGGAGGTCAGGTACCTGGGTAGAAGGATCTCACAACACCATAAACATTGTGTATAACAATGATTCACCCAGCCCTTTCCCAAAGGGGGCTGTGGCCATTTTTGTAGGTAACATACCCTGAGGAAAGGGAATACCTACATGTTTTGAGAGCTGTTGGACAAGGAGCCCCAGGTTTATAAAGTGTCATCACAACCCTCCCCATTAACAAATAGATGGTGGCATGTATAGGGATATAGACAATAAATGGAGTTCTGAGGCCAGACTGGTACACAGCATCTTCACTGGGTCCATGGATGCAATCAATGGTTGTTCGCTTGGTCCCTGAGTGTGCAATTAGGATACACATCATAGCTGGCAGAACCCCTTTGTTGTTCTTCCTGTGGGATGAGAGCTGTCATAGTGAAGATGGCTCTCAAGAGGAATGGTAGAATTTAGTTCTACCCTTAAAAACAGAAGGAATGCAGTGCTGATGTTCTCCCTCATATATCCATTTAATTCACCAATCTGGGCCTGTTTCCAGCTCGTATAAATAGTAGCTCCAATAGCAGTTTCTACGCCAGTTGTGGCATCTTTACTAAAGCAGATTAACGTAGCCTCAGACACAGAGTGGGCGATCACTGATATGGGAAATGCATTCTGTTCCATTCCTATTGAAAAAGGAAAATGAGAAATAATTCTCAATTACTTGGAACACACAACAGTGTAAATTCGCAGCCCATCTCTAGATCCCTATTAACTCACTTGCTTAAAGAGACCTGGAATATCTGGATATTACACAGAACATCGCATGTGTCCCCAAGTTGATGAATTCATGTCACCTGGGACAGAAGTAGCAAGTACATTGGTAGAACATGGGCAGTTCCGAAGTTCAAAGATAACACAGATTAAAGGGCTGACCATATGGCTGAAATGTTTAGGAGTCTTTGACATACTGTGGCACTTTCTCTGAATTAAGGATAAGTGAATACAGGTCACAATTCTCACCATTAAGATGGCAGCACCATGCTGCAGGTCCTGAAGACAGCATTTTCCACACTCGAGAACTCCGTTCTGACCAATACCCCACATGACACTAAGGCTAGGACGTCAGCAGCCCTGGGGTATGATATGAGCCTCCTTACCACTCAGGTCATAGAAGCCATAAGACTCTGTATCATTAGAGGTGTCTATGGTGGGAGACGATTTTGTGTAGAGTTTATGGGAACATCAATAGGAGAATTACATCAGGCCCTGAGGTTCTAGATTAAAGCCTTAAGAACTCTAACAGAAAAATGTATATATTTCATGGAACAGCTCATGGAGTGCTGCTGCATCTGGGTAGAGATGGACATTTGGACATGGGACGCCAGATGACCATGCAGTCAGAATTGTCAAAATCAGGAAATTGGAACTAGTAGGTACTGAGTATTAGCTAAATAACTAGTTTTCATGTGTATTCATTTGTTGTTAATTAGTTCTGTGATATTTTATCACGTGTATAATGCATATTGATGTAACTATCACAACTAACGAGAACTACAAAAACCATTACCACAAAAAAAACCTCCAGGCTACCTCATTATAATCACGTCTTTCTCCCACCTCTAACCTCTTGTGTCCATTGATCTGTTCTCTATCACTGTAATTACAAACATCCATACATCTGTACAGCAGAATACTACTCAACAATAAAAAAAGAACAAACCATCAATATATGTGAAAAAATATATTTTTTGCTTTCCTCTTTTTTTTTTTTTTTTTTTTGAGACTGAGTCTCATTCTATCGCCCAAGCTGCAGTGCAGTGGTGCAATCTCGGCTCACTGCAACATCTGCCTCCCAGGTTCAAGCAATTCTCATGCCTCAGCCTCCTGAGTAGCTGAGATTACAGGTGCCCACCACTACACCTGGCTAATTTTTGTATTTTTAGTAGAGACAGGGTTTTGCCATGTTGGTCAGGCTGGGCTCGAACTCCTGACCACAGATGATCCACCCACCCCAGCCTCTCAAAGTGCTGGGATTACAGGCATGAGCCACTGCACTTGGCCGCTTTCCTCTTTTAAGTGAAACTCACATAACACAAAATTAACCATTTCAAAGCAAAAAAAAAAATCAGTGACATTTAGTACGTTCACGATATTGTGCAACTACCACCTTTGTAGAGTACCAAGCACTTTCATCACCCCCAAAGGAAACTCTGTGTCCATTCAGCAGCCACTCCTAATTCTCTCACCCAGCTCTTAGAAATAAATAGACTACCGTCTGCCTCTATGGATTTATCTATTTACCTGGATATTTCATATAAGTGAAATCATACAATTTGCGACCCCTTGTGTTAGGCTTCTTTTACCTACAGTGTTTTTGAGGTTCTTCCACATTGTAGCATGTATCAATACTTTGTTCCTTTATACAGATAAATATTCTAATATATATATTATATATTTGTTTATTCATTCATCTTCATCCATTGATGGACATTTCAGATGTTTGCACCTTTTGGCTATTTGCTGCTATGAAAAGGCATGTAAATGTATTTGTTTGAGTATCTGTTTTTAATTCTTTTGGGTATATATCTAGAGTGGAATTGCTGTGTCGTATGGTTATGCTATATTTAACGTTATTAGGAACAGGCAAACTGTTTTCCACATCTACCGACTCATTTTATATTCTTACCAGGAATTTCCAGGGTTTCCAATTTCTCTACATCCTTGCCAGCTTTTATCTTACATTTTAAAAATCATGTCCATTCAAGTGGGTGTGAAGTTATAACTCGTGGTTTTGATTTGCATTTCCCTAATGACTAATCATGTTGACCATCTTGTCATGTGCCTACTGGCCACTAGTATATTTTCTTTAGAGAAATGTCTCATTAAGTCCTTTGCCCATTTTTTATTGGTTTTTGTTTGTTTGTTATTGTGTTGTAAGTGTACTTTATGTATATTCTAGATACTAGATCTTCGTCCAATATATAGATGTGAAACTTTGTAAGAGGAGAAATTACAGAATTTTCTCCCATTCTCTAGGTAATTTCTCCACTTTCTTGATAATATTTTTTGATGCACATGTGTTTTTAATTTTGATGAAGTCCAATTTATCTATGTTTCTTTTGTTGTTAATGCTTTTGGTACATGTGAATATCCAGCTATCACAGCAGTATTTGTTGAAAAAACTGTTATTTCTTCTACTGAATGATCTTGGTGCCCTTGTTGAAAATCGGTTGGCCATAGATGCATGGGTTTATTTCTGGACTCTTGATTGTATGCCATTGATTTACATGTCTATGTTTATGCCAGTATCACACTGTTTTGATTACTATAGTCCTTCAACATTGTTCTCCTTTTTCTTTATTTACTTTTAATCAACAACTAATAATTGTGTGTATTAGTGGAATACAATGTGATGTTTTAATATATTTATACATTGTAGAAAGATTCAACAAGGTAATTAACATATCTATCACCCCACCAACTTATTTTTTTGTGATGAGAATATAAAAAATCTATCCTTTTAGCAATTTTAAGAAATGCAGTATATTATCATCAATTGTGGTTGCCATGTAGTGTTATATATCACTAAAACTTACTTTTCCAGTCTAACCATAAGTTTATGTTTCTTCTTTTTCAATACTGTTTTGGCTGTTTCAGGCCCCTTGTGAATTAAACAATGAGTAATGATTTAAAAATATAAATAGAGGGATCAATTATTCCATTTCTGCAAAAAAATTAATATTTTGAAAGAGATTACATTGAATCTGTAGATCACTTGCATTAGTTTTCCACATTAAGCATGTTATGTGTTATAATCCACGAACACAGAATGGCTTTTGATTTACTTGGGTCTTTAATTTCCTTAAGTAATTTTTTGTGGTTTTCAGTGTACAGCTTTTTCATCTCATTGTTTAAATTTACTCTTAGATATTTTATTTTTTAATGCCATTGTAAGGAGAATTGTCTTCTTAATTTCTTTTCAGATTGTTCATTGCTGGTATACAGAAACATAACTGAGTTTTGTGTACTGATCTTATATCTCACAACTTTGCTGAATTTATTAGCACTGATAGTTTTTTGTTTTTTTTTTTAGCACTGGTAGTTTTTTTCCTGAATTCCTTGAGATTTTCTATATGTAGGAACTATGCAATTGTGACTAGAGATAATTTTACTTGTCTCTCTTTCATTTGAATATCTTTTAATGTTTTCTTGCCTAATTGCTCTGACTAGGACTTCTAGTATAATTCTGAGTGTGCCATACTTTACTGTTGGTTTGTATGCCTTGTAACTTTGTTGAAAACTGAGCATTTTGAATATTATAATCTGGAAACTATAGAAGTCAGATATCCCCCACCTTCCCCAGGGTTTGCTGTACTTAACTGTTAAGGGCTGCAGTCGTCCACTTATTTAGGGGCTTTTTCAAACTATTTTTGCAAACCTTGTATTCCTTGTTCACATGTAGTCACTGAAGTCTTTGCTCCATTATTTCAGTGGACAGCCAATGATCTGACAAATATTTCCTTAAACACCTTTAGCCAAAAAGCAAAAACAAAAACGAGAAAGATACTACTCTACAAGACTATGTATCTTGGCCCTGACTTAAGATTCTTCTTTAATATGAAGCCAGGCCACTTATGGCTCTGTTTTATCCTTCACCACCTGCCTGCCTGGAGCCCACAGATCTGCCAGAATGCAAGTCTAGGGTTAGCTCAGGTCTTTCCTGAGCATGCATCTGGTTCTGAGCACATGTGGCTGGTTCTGAGCTTTGCCCTTCATCTTCTCTGGTAAAGGTGGTGGCCCTTCTGAGTCTTTATTCTCCCAAGAAATTTTTCCCTTCAGCCTTCTCTTCCCTGTGATTTTGGTCTCATCTGTCATCCCTTGACCCAGGCAGAAATGAGCAATGCATGTCTTTAAATCTTTTGACAGAGGCCCCACTGCCTGGAAAGCTGTTCCTGCCCAAGTTAGGGAGAGCAAAACGAGGGTTAGTCGCTGCATCAATTCTGGCAGAGCACTGCCATACTGGACAAAACACAAAACCAGAGTATTTAAAGAACATGGTTTTATTAGCCCCCTGGCACCAAAAAGCCACACCAGGAACGTCGGCCTCCATCCCCACAGCTGTTGCCTCCACTCTGAGGAATGGGGGGAAGCATGGTAGTAGGCAGGTGAGCCAAAACACTGCAAATCTCTCTTGCCCAAATTCAGCTCCCTGTCTCTTTGTTAGGAGTCCGCTCGTTGCTGTAAGCTCTGGATTAGATTCTGGAGTTCTGAGACAGTAAATTCCATCAGTTTTTGTCAGCTTATCATTGTTTCAGTGAGGGGCCAATTCTTCAAGTGCCCTACTCTGCCATTTTCTGTGATGTCACCCAATATATGATTTTTGAATTAGAAAAAAATTCTTAAAGATATAAATGTTGGAGGAAAGGAAACAACACCTTTAAAAATGATTATATGATAATATATAAAGAATTAATGTAGAACTCTAGGCACTTTTAAATTATAATTATGTTTTAAAATGCTTCATAGAAAAAATGATCATAAGAAAATAAACCACATATTAAGAGTGGTTGCTTTCAGAAGAAATGATTGTAGGCTATATTTACTTTTTAATTTTCTCTTATGTACTTTACGTATGTAAAGAATTATCCATCATAAGTGTTCATTGCTTTTAGAATCAGCAAATGTATACTGCCTCGTTTCATATTATGGCAAATTGTTCTTAAAGGCCCCAATCAGTGAGGATTAAATCAGATAATTTTAGATATAGTTTAATACTTGTCTTTTAGTTTGAGTTTGAAAATTCTATATTTAAAAAAGATTTATTTATACAACTCATAAAATGAACTATTTTTCTTCTTGCTTCTGGTTTTTTTTAAAAAATAGGAATGACATTTATTTTATAGAATATTACCTAGCATCTCAGAAGAGACAAAAGGATAAAAGTACATTCTTGAATTCAACGTCCTAGTATTTGAGATTCAATCAATTTCCAGATGGTATATAGCAGTACATTATTCAAATCCCATTAGAGAGTTAGCATCAGGGGTGATGTAGTATTTTGATCAATTCTGAAAATTCAAGTTAGGTTAACTGTATCAAGGAACAAAAATAGAAATCTGTTTAACCATAAGCTAGACTAAGGCAATGACTAATGTATCCTAAAGAAATAAGGGGGAAAATAACAAAAGACTTTAAGGCAAGAGTCACTATAATTATAAATGGAGACCTACAGGCTAATCTCTTGGATTTTCATCAGTTTTTACAAAATGCCTTATTCAGAGGAAGGGCAGATCATAGGATACTATCCAGAAAAGGCAATGGCATCATTACATTAAATAAAAACATTTTTGCTGCCACTTTCAATTACCCTGAAAATTACGGAGATCCAACATCTGATAATTCTGACTGTTTGTAAATTTTGAGGTGTTTTCACATGGAGTTCTACATCTTTATGTTGTGGACTCTAATGTGGAAATACTGAATTTGTTCTTACAAACCCGACTGCGCCTCCTACAATACATATAATCATTGCCTTCTTGTTTTGTTCCAGTAGTAACCTATTGAATCTCAGGGTAGAAGCCCAGTGTGGTTAATCTATAGAGTTTCCTAGAAGCAGGGCTGGAGACAAGGATTTTTCTCCATGTGATTCACTGAGGAAACCCTCGGGAAAAGGGGAGTAAGAAAAGTGTAATAGGGCTGGGTAAAGTAGCTAAGCAGTCACATGTGGTCTTAGCTGGAAACTCGCTTCAGCTTGGTCAACCACAGAGCCCTGACATATGAGTTGGAAAAGAGTTAATTTCCTGCACAGTCTAGAAGTCCAGTCTTTGGCATCTCTGATTAAGTCGTAGTCATTGACCCCATGCTGCTAGGTATGGGGGATGCAGCCTCCTGGGCCAGGTAAACCTTGTTTATCCAGGAGAATTATCTGCATAAAGGGAAACCTAGGAGACTGTGATGGTTGATATTGCCAGCAACTTTGTATGGGTGCACCGCCTTGCTAAAGGGATCAGGGTGGGGCACCAGTAGCACTCACTACAATTAGTGTTTCTCTAAGTGCAGTCTGTGATCACCAGTATTAGAATTACCTGCTGCTTATTAATATTCAGATTAATGGGCCTACTCTACTTCAATTAAGTGAAAATAACTAGGGTTAGGTCCCAGACATCTCCATTCTAACAAGTGCTCCATAAAATTCTTTTGCACACTAGCATTTATGAACCTTGTTCTCTACTAATAAGCACTAAACATTTTCATAGAGTAAAAGCTGTTATATTAGTCTCTAGAGGGACAGAACTAATAGGATAGATATATATAAAGGGGAGTTTATTAAGTATTAACTCACATGATCATAAGGTCCCACAATAGGCTGTCTGCAAGCTGAGGAGAAAGGAGAGCCAGTCCAAGTCCCAAAACTGAAGAACTTGAAGTCTGATGTTCGAGGGCAGGATGCATCCAGCACAGGAGAAAGATGTAGGCTGGGAAGCTAAGCCAATTTAATCTTTTCACGTTTTTCTGCCTGTTTTATATTCTAGCTGCACTGGCAGCTGATTAGATTGTGGTCACCAGATTAAGGGTGGGTCTGCCTTTCCCAGCCCACTGACTCAAATGTTAATCTCCTTTGGCAACACCCTCACAGACACACCCGGAAGCAATACTTTGCATCTTTCCTTCCAATCAAGTTGACACTCAGTATTAACCATCACAACTGTCAATGATTAAATGCAAGTAGAATTACACTATTTGGAGCAAAATTTCAGTCCTGTACTCCTGGTTAGATAACAAGTGCAATCAGAAACCACTGCTGACAATTCACATATTCATGCATAAGTGAGCATTGTGTAGGAGAAATAGTTTGTTCCTTACAAAGGGCGATTAAAAGTACACAAAAGTAAACGATCATGGATTCTCTTGGGGATCATGCTTCTGGGAGCTTGAATTTCTGTGTCAAACTATGAACAGGAGGAAGGGGCTTGATAGAAAGAAGTCCTGAAGCATCCTTTGCCCATAGACTGCCACTCTTGTCTTATGCAAAGGAAGAATAAGATCATTTTTCTTTTCATTTTTTAAACTTTTATTTTAGGTTCAGGGGTACATGTGTAGGTTTGTTATGTAGGCAAACTCATGTCATGGGGGTTTGTTGTACAGATAATTTCATCATTTTAAAATACGTCCAGAAATTCCTTGACAATCCCCTTCTCCAAAGCTGGAGACTTACTCTCTTCCACTTGAATGAAGCCTGGACTTGGTGACTCTCTTCTGGTGACGGAACGTGGCAGAAGTGACAATGTGTGACATTGTCAGAAAAGGCATTGCAGATTCTTCTTGCTCTTTGGGCCACTCATTCTGGGGGTAGCTACAGTCATGTGATGAAAACACTGAGACAGCTCAAGGTAGAGATCCAGGTGACAAGGAAGGGAAGGCTGCAAGAAACAGGACTCCACCCACAACCACGTGAGTGAGCCAACTCAGAGGGAGCTCTTCCAGCCCAGGTGGGCCTTTAGATGACTGCAGCCAGCATCCTGATTACGATGTCATGAGAGACCCTGAGTCAAAACCACTCCAACAATTTTCTCCCTAATTCCTGACCCATAAAAACAATAGGATAATAAAGGTTGTTTTAAGTCACTACGTACTGGAGTAATTTTTTATGCACCTATGTTTAACTAGCATATTACTTAAAAGTACTTTTCTGGGTTCCTGGATAATAGTCTCGTCTTCCCTCAAACTCTCTCTTTTGAGCAATTTTTAAATAATTATTCTCTCCTTAAAATATATATATAATCCTCTGAGGTGTTTAACACATGGAGTGTATTCATTGTTAGTATCAAAGCACAAAGAATAGAGTCAGTGGTTTTCTTTCCTGCTACTGTCCAGAAAAAAAGCATAGGAGTTTTACTAAGGGAAAAGTAAGAGGAGGAAGTTATAGGTGAAAAAAACAAGGGTCCTTGTCCAGGAGAGGCCAGCTTAGATTTGTACCACGAAGACCTCAGCACCACAGATAACAGGTTGCATGGGAGGTAGGAAAGGGAACAGAGAGGTGGGATGATACCAGACAGAAGCTTACTCCTTGCTGTATTGCTGAAGAGTGGTCCGAACCCTGGGCAAGCCCGGCTCTGGGGATGGAGAAGAGGAAATTGTCCATCCAAGATGATCACTTGTCACCAGTCCAGGAGTCACTGCCCAAACAGAGACTTAAAATTACCAGGAACTATAAGCAATTCACAATTGTAAAGTAGTAGTTTGTGAGGCTGGGAATGATGACAAGGCATGAGTGAAGGCCTGGTAACCTGAAACAGCATGATGTGTCCAGGAACAGACACACGGTCTATATTGTTAGGATTTATCTCATATTGACCAATATTGTTAGGACTGAGATATGGATAGCACTAGAGGGATGAGAGAGGGGACAAGTTATAAAGAGTCACTTGTGCCTGGTTAAGATGCTTGGATGTTACCGTGTGCTCAATGGGAATTCACTGGATGGTATAGTTGGGGAGTGATATGGTTGGCCTTGCATTTGAAAAATTATTCTTCTGGCTGGGTGGGGAAAAACATGCTGTGAAATAAAAGATAAGTGACCTAATGGGAGGCAATTACAGTAGTCTTGGCCAGAGATGACAAGGATCTGAAGTAGACCATTTAGTAGGAATGATAGAGAAGAAGTGATAGTTTAGAAAAAAATCATAGCTGAAATCTACACAACTTTTAAAAAGAAATTACTAGAAGCACATAATAGTTGTAAATATTTAAGTCACTAAGTACATATGGTGTACATATGGGTACATATGGTGTTTTGATACAGGCATACAGTGAGTAAGGATCAAATCAGGGTAATGGGGGTATTCGTCACCACAAGTGTTTATCATTTCTTTGCTTGAGGAACATTCCAATTCTACTCTTCCAGTTAGTTTTAAATCCATAATAAATTATTGCTAACTATAGCCACCCTTTTGTGCTACTAAACACTAAATCTTATTTGTTCTATTTAACTGTATTTTTGTACTCATTGACCATCCCCTCTGTAATCCTTGTTCTCCACCACCCTTGCCAGAACCTGGTAACCGTCATTCTACCATCTCCTTGAGTTGAAGTTGTTTAATTTTTAGCTTCCACCTACGAGCGGGAACATGAGAAATGTGTCCTTCTATGCCTAGCTTATTTCACTTAACATAATGTCCTCCAGTTCCATCCACATTGTTGCAAATATAGGACTTTTTCACTGACTGGCTAGAGGTGTTGGATGACACCCAAGTTTGGTGCTTGAGTGACTTGCTAGAATGGGAGACAAGCAATGGTAAATAAAAATCGGGGAAGTAAGCTAGAGTGTGTGTGGAATAAATAATAGGTCAATGGACCAGTTGAGCTTGAAGCCACGGTCTAGAACCTGTGGCCCAGACAAGCTGGCAAAAAGGAAAGCCCTTTATGGTTAAAGCCATAGCCCTTTCTAATTCAGTAAGTGGAAGCCTCTTGTGGGCCCCTGACAAGACTTAGAGAGGCCTAACTCACTGCAGATGGGCCCCAAGGAATGTCCATCCAGTCTTGTGGGCTACTGATAACATGAATATCTTAACATTTCCAAGCCCAGCATAAACCTGGTCATGGTAAATACACATGGTTATCTCAGACTCTCCTCTCTCCAGCTCTAGCAGGATTCCCTACATTTCCAGCTATCTTGCTTTCACTCTTACTTAGAATTTTATTTGTGATGTAGTTTCTTAGCCTTAGAATGTGTATCTTGGTTTAGGCAGCTGCAAGACACAGATACAATAAATTGTGACATTTGTTAAAATATTTAAAATGACTCAGAAACTGATACAACATTGCAGTTTATAAGAAGCCACCCTGAAAAAAGTATTAGGCATTGTGCTCAAAAGCCCCCAAATCCCAAGGCCACCTTGAATATTTGTCTTGGAAAATATAGAGTACCAGGATCTTGCAAAACCTTAAAGACAAGCCTTGCAATATTCCAGTCGAGTGTGAATACTGGGAAGAACTATGGGCATTGTTATCTAGGCCTCCAGTTTCCTTGTTGCTTCATCTCCTTTCTGACATCCTTTTTTTTTATCTTTAGATACTAACTACCATTTAGATTTTTCTTTTCACTTCACCACTGTCAAAGCAAAAATTGCACTAGACAAACCTAAACAGACAAGGAAGGCTTTAGTCAAGGCTATTGCAATTGGTGAGAAAGACCAGAACTGCGTTTGAACTCAACTCTGCTGAAGCAAAGGGCAGGAGAGTTTTTAAGAGCTGGGATGGGGGAGAAGATGAGAGGCCATCTGTGCTTGTTAATTGGCTTTATCCAGAGGAAAAGTAAACTTTTTTGTATCTTCATAGCAGGAAGTAATTTCACAATTGGGAGCAAGGTGCCCACCAAAGTTAGGCTTCTCCCCTCCTACAGGGACTGGGAGATAGAGGTTCTGACTTCTTTAAGGATTACAGTCAAAGAAATGGCTCCCAAGCCCTTGAGAACAAAGCTCCTGGGTTATAAAACTAGCAAGAGGCCTTTAAAATGGTTTACATCTCAAAAGGACAGAGAAATAATTTATAATTACTAGTTTTCTAAAGAAAATGCTGTAAAAAGGGAGGTCAGGACCAAGAGTCAGGAAGAAGAATGTTTCAAGCTTGGACAAGCTGAGGGGCAGGTTGACATTCATCTTGGTCACCATAAACAGTAATGTTTCTAAGAATGAGTCTAATTTCAGGGACAATCATAATAAAGTGGAAAGGACCATGGACATAAAATTTTAAAAATTGCCTTTGGATTCTGGTACATGTTCTGGACTAAACAACTCTGTTTTTGATACTCATATTATATTCTACTGTGAAATATGAGAATAATGATTAATTTGGGCCACTTATTTTGATCTTGAAAATATATTCAAACTTAATTTTGTCTATGTATTTATTTTGTGTATCATTTTATCTGAAAGTTGATTAACATGGTAAAGTTTAGTTGGAGGAGGACATGTAGTAGAGCTCATCTAGATTCCATTTTTTTAAAGCCTTTGTAGAATATCTGGAAGTGCCTTCTCCCCTAGAGAATCAGTGCTCTGATCTCTGGAGAAAGTCAAGGAGGCCTGGTTCAGTTGATCTCCAAGATATATTTGATGGTGATCTTGAACATAATGGAACTCTCAGAAGGCACATGCCCAAGCCTCAGCCCTGGAGGTGAAGATTTTGCATGGAGGCATAGAAGTCACAACTTTACCATGCCACATCAGAGTGTGTAGGTTGGCTTAGGACATTAAGAGAACAAGAAAAATAAAGAATCTTTAAGAGTAACTCACGGCAGCAAAAAGCCCGAGGGCTTACCCACCACCCTAGCTCTACAGCATCTTCAGCTAAGTTCCTGGATATGAGGACAGCTTGGGGGAGAGAAGACAGTCTCCCAGGAAAGGGTCTTTTTGGTCAACTCTCAACCCATGATACTTGAGCCATTATCAAGACCTTGAACCATTGTGGGTGAAACACCTGCCACTCCTCCTTTAGGTTAAGAGTCATGAAAAACTAGGAGTGTTGTCAGCAGCTATGGATAGAGTCATGCTGGAGAGGACTGCCACATGCTATACACGTCCAAAAGGCTCATTTGGGCAAAGAAAATTTTAAACCTTCTCTCTTTGTAGATTCATAAGGGCAAGGAAATGCACTCCCTTTTTCTAAAGACATAACACCCTTCTTAGCCAGCATGACCTCTGATTCCCTCAGAGTCTGTGCTAAATCTCTCTGAACAAGCATTGCTTTTTCTTGCTTAGGATGAGGGGCCATGGCCAAGGCTAGTGACAAGAGATGGTGTGTTTCTCCCAGCACCTTCACACTTCTCTGGGATAACCCAGGGCACATCTGATAAAGTGCTTCCATTTCAAATACCATCTATGGTGGATCTTAAAGAAGTGCTATAAGGAGCACCCCAGCCTACTGTCATGCCAAAACATCCCACTGCCATGATTAACTTTATGTGTCAACTTGAGTGGGCTAAGGGATGCCCAGATAGCTGGTAAAATGTTATTCCTGGGTGTCTGTGAGGGTGTTTCCAGAAGAGGTTGGCATTTGAATCAATGGACTGAATGAAGAAGATCTGCCCTCACCAATGTAGGTGGGCACCATCCGATCCATTGAGGGCCCAAACAGAACAAAAAGGTGGAATAAGGGAGAAAGCTCTCTCATTCTCCTTGAGCTGGGACATTCATCTTTCCTTGTCCCCAGACATCACAGCTCATGGTTTTCAGGCCTTTGAACTCCAGGACAGACACCAGTGACTTTCCCCACTTCAGCTGAGGATTACACTATCAGTTCCCCGGTTTCTTAGGCCTTCAGAGTCACCTGAATTACACCGCCAGCTCCTCAGATCTCCAGTTTACAGACAGTACATCCTGGGGCTTCGCGACCTTCACAGTGATGTGAGCAAATTTCCGGAATAAATGTCTCATATATATCTATGTGCATCCTCTTGCTTCTCTGTCCCTGGAGACCCCTGATGGATACACCCACCTACACTCCATCAGGGATCTCAGAATTCCTTTCTATCACTTCTCTGGTGAAGGAAGAGGCTGCTTCCCCACTGGAGGAATCAATTAAAATTAATCTATCTCTGAAGGGGACAAAATATTTTTTATTCATGACTCACATTAAATACACATCAATGTGCCTACCGTATATTAGATTAATATATATTAACCTCATTTAATGCTTAGATAGGGCTTGGGACATAAAGGAAGAAGGGAAAGGACATTTCATCCCTATTACTGCCAAAGCAAATGAAGACATAGGACGTTCTGCTACTAACATTAACCGGCTGAAGACCCAAAGCACCGAATATTTACATCAAAGTGCCCTGTGGTGGAAGTTTTCCACGATTTAGTTTCCATGTCTAAATAATGGGGCCAATTTGGTCAACACATATTTATAAAACACATACTATGACGTTTTTTTGTTTGTTTGTTTTTTGAGATGGAGTCTCACACAGTCCCCGGGCTGGAGTGGAATGGCGTGATCTTGACTTACTGCAACCTCTGCCTCCTGGGTTCACGCCATTCTCCTGCCTCAGCCTCCTGAGTAGCAGGGATTACAGGTGCACACCACCACACCAGGCTAATTTTTTTCTATTTTTAGTATAGATAGGGCTTCACTATTTTGGCCAGACTGGTTTCGAATTCCTGATCTAGTGATCCACCCGCCTCAGCCTCCCAAAGTGCTGGGATTACAGGCATGAGCCACCGCGCCTGGCCTGATGGTGTGCCACACAGCATGTAGGATGTCTTAATACTACTAATACCTGGATTGTTAAAGGGGAAAAAATACAAATTTGAAAAATGTTCAGAAAGAAACAAAATCTTGCAGACATCAGCCAGCCTTATTTTCTAGGCGGAACCAGCTTGAGGATGAGGAAAAGCTCGGATGCATTGATTGACAAACCCACATAGCAGGTCTTCAAGAAACCGTTCTTCGTTGGACTTATCATCTGCCTGGTGGCCTTTCTTATTTCCACAGATATTCACTTCCCACCTGGTCCTTCTGCTGAAAGATAAGATACACTCTGGCCAGGGCCTGGGTTGCCCCTTGATGGGTTCACATGCACCTTTCGGGGTGTAAGAACTGCTGCCTCTTTTCCAGCTTCTGTTTTGCTTCTTTTCTCCCCATCTTGGGGGCAGGTGTCTGACCAAAGTCTGAAAATGTTCATAAATCCCTGCAGTCTGATAAATAAGCCATATCTGGCCCTGAAGGAACTTGGCAAAATGCATCATGAAGTACAGAGGCCAGGATTTGTGACAGACCGGTGATGAGCCGGTGATTAACCATGCAGTCACCACTCACAGAGAACTATAATCGAGGGAGGAGGAGAGGAAATGGAACATTTTGACAGCGAAATAATGAGTCGGGGATGCAAAATGTATCTCTGCTCGTCATCACGTTGTACCAGGCGGTTTCACAGCGGCTTATCCACACAGCCTTGCATGGGGTCGGAATGAAGTCCAAGGCTGAGTTTAGGCAATCGGCAGAAATCACTAAAATCTCAGCAAACCACAGCAGTGCCAGGGAGGCCAAAGCCATGACTGACCCCGCGAGAAGCACAGGCGTGTGTCGCAGGGCCCGGCACGTGCACACAGAGGAGTACACTCAGGTCCGAATCAGAGCTCTGTGGAAAAGCGCAAAGGGGAAGAGAAAACAAGATCGAGCTGGTGGCAGTGCAGGGAAGAGCCTGCAGGTGAGATGACAAAAAGAACCGCACGGGGCTCCACACAGAGCAGGAGCTCCAAACAGAGCAGCAGCCCCCGAGCTCAGCAGTGACGGCAGCAGGAATGAGTCTTGTTCAGTGTCTGCCCCGGCTCTTGGTACACAGGAGGCGCTTTTTAGATTTTGCCAGGCACTCAATATTTTTCTTCTTCTTTAAATCAAGCTACTAAGTTTCAGCGATGCAAGATGAATGCATTCTGTTGATCTCATGTACAGTTTAGTGACAACAGTTGATGGAACCCTGTCATATGCTTGAAATTTGTTAGGATGATTAAAAAAATAAAGCATAGATCTTAAATTAAATCTTCTCATTACACACACACTGTACACACACACACCACCACATACACAAATGTTAACTATGTAGAGATGATAGATATGTAAATTAACTTGATATTGGCAGTCTTTTCATAATGTATACAGATAGCAACACTTTAAGTTGTACGCTATAACCATACACAATTTTTATGTCAGTGATCTCTCAAAAAAGTGGTTAAAATAATCAAGCTAACTTTTCAGTATCACAAGTAAAAATTATCCAAGGAAAATGCACCATTTTCTTAAGAGCATTGCTAAATCGTTGCCCATCAACATACATACATCATTTTAAAATGAACAAAAAATATTTAAAGGCGGGGATAAAAAAGTTGCCTGAGAGATTAGGCAGTAGAGATCCTTCTGGGAGTTACCTACCTGTGGACTTTACTCTTTTGTCTCAGGCCAAAGAGACACAAGGGCAGAGAGGACCTCATTGGCATCAAGGCAAAAGGTGAGTTGCCGGGAGGGTGAAGCTGTCTGGGTGGCTAATATCTATGGCAGCAGAGGGCAGTTATTTTCATTACAAAAGGGGACAGAAGACACAGATATAGCACACAATTATTAAATAGGAGTGATTTCTCAAAAGAGCTCCCCACATTGACAAGTTTCCTTACAGCAGAAGGAAAAAGAATGAAGGAATCTAGCACAAATATCTACAGGTCACAAAGTAAGAAATGTAGGATAAAATAAGTTCTGATGAGTCAGAGGAATAGAAAATCCTAGATTAAAACAAAATCATATGCATAAAAACACAAGATTATCTTCTCCTAGGTCCCTTTAGACAAAGGCAAAACATTTGAAATAAATATATAGCTATTTTACAAATCTATTATTTATTAGCTACTAGCTCAGGGTTCTCATTTTCTTTCAGTGATGCTGTCAGAAAAGGAAGTGACATTCAATGTCAGAAGTGTTTCTGGGTTGGCAGGGAGTGAGGACCCCAACCACTCATCTTCCTGGAATTTGTCACCTCAGCTATGACTCCATCTTGAACTGAAGACCAATCAACAGCTGGGTTGGCTTCCTGGGTCCTGATTTGATGTTATACTTCCATTTTTCTGGCTTATAAACTCAAACAAATTTGCTTTAAAACTTTAAGCTGCAATAGAGAGAAAAATTAGGTCTTCCCAGTGGGAAAAGCAAAATGAAAGAGTAACACTCTGTCTGTGTGACAGGATGTCTTAGGGAAATCTCACCAACCCCCGCGGTTCAGTTCTTGCCAAGCTGCCTCCCCGGATAATTGCTGCTACTTTGGCTGATTCTCCAGGGAATTTTCCAGAAGGCAATGTCATGGTATGATTTCCAATTAAGCCTAAACCCCTCATGAGAGTGAGCATCCACGATTCTTACTTTGGGAAAAGGCCTGGATTCCACAGCAAAGAGAAGAGGATATTGTAATATGTAATATTCTCTCGCATGTGGGCACTTGGACTTTTCTGCAAAGTGCTCCTTTCATCTCTGATCTTATTCTGTCCTCAGGATCACTCTGTACAGGGTGAAGGGCAGGCTTTATCCCCACTTGAGAGAAGGAGAAACAGACAGTGAGTTTGTCTTGCTAATTAGTGCCAGGAGCACGGTTGCCTCCTGACTCCCAAATCCATTGTTTTTTCCACCCAGCATCAGAAAAACATCTTCTTGACTCAAGATGAGGCGATGTGAATTCAAGATGGCAGGAAAGTCACTAGACCCTGGGCTCTTAATTCTTTCCACGTCTCTCTTGTGGTCTCACCAAGGAGTCCAACCACAGATTCAGAACTGCAACCCACAGCGGTTCCCTCCAGGTACCCAGTGAGTTCCCCATAATGTCTTGTTGTTTATGCTGTTCCAGGCACCAGGAATATTTTCCCCTTTTCTCCACACTTTGAAATCCTGCCCATATTTCTCTGCCTGGAGCGATGCTCCCTCACAGGAAGCCCCGAGCAGCCTGACATGGGCTCCACTCTCCTGTCATTCAGGTGTCTATCCAGGGATCTGGCTACTGTGTATGAGCTATAAAATGTCCTGACGACTTAAAGCACCGTGATTCCATGAGGGCAGGACCATGGTATCCTACGGAACTCACACACATGAATAAGTTAAAAAAAGCTTGAAAAAAGTATTTAATTAAGTACTTAAGTGAGTGGAAAAAACAGGGTGTCCTATGGGAGTTCATAATGGAGAACGTGAACAGAGCTGCGGCCCTCAGGGCACCTGAGCCAGCAAGGTATATGCTGGACCTGGGTCTCCCCTGCCTGGGGGCACACCCTCTGCATCCTGCATGCTGCAGGCACACCCTTTCTCCTGAGATAGGGGGATAGCTCGATGGCCATCATGTATTAAGCACTTGCCTTCTCAGATGCTGCAATTGACACTTTACAGAATTTTGATTGTTCTAATAATGCCATGAAGCAGATAATTACAAACCCATCTTAGAAATAAGGAAATGGAAGCACAGAGAAGCATCAAAACTACAGAACTGGGATGTCTGTGGATTTAAAATCTAGTGTGAAGGTTTTCATCCAGTTTGAGGATTTGCAATAAGAAAAGACACCCCCTATTTCCTACAGACATGAGAACCCATCTTAAACAGACACCACGTTCTCGATGTAAATCCTTGACATACATTGCCCTAAGACAGGTCCAGGCACCCCAGCCAGAGGCACATCTGTGCCCCACTGTGCCCCAAGTCCCCAAGATAACTCACGGGGAACCCACCCTTAGTGGTGACTTTCATCAACTGTACTTTGGGCTCCAGCCCTGCTGTTAGCAGCAAGCTTGGGAGTTACTCAGTTTTATTGTTGAGTCTTACTTCAGTGAATCTTCTCTCACTACATTGCTCATTTGGCCTGATGGAAATAACACTTTTCTGGAGATGAGGTAACAACACCAGAACATTCTGCTTAAACTGCATTTACACTCATCCAGTGTTATAAATCATCTGGTCCAAAATTCATTTTTTTTTTTGAGACAGGTGTCTCTTTGTCACCCAGGCTGGAGTGCAGTGGCATGATCAAGGCTCACTGCAGTCTTGACCTACGGGGTTCAAGTGATCCTCTCACCTCTGCTCCCCAAGTAGCTCGAACTTCAGGTGTGTGTCATCACATCCAGCTAATTATTTTTGTAGTTTTTGTAGAGACAGGGTTTCCCATGTTGCCCAGGCTGGCCTCAAACTCCTGGGCTCAAGCGATCCACCCACCTCAGCCTCCCAAAGTGCTGGGATTATAGGTGTAAGCCACCATGCCCAGCCCAAAATTCTTATTTAAAAGGTGAGGCAGCTGAGACCCAGAGAGGTTAAGTAATTTACTCAGCATCATACAGCAACCATCCAGGCCCTGAGGATTGAATCCTCCTACTCCAGCTCATCAGGCCGAGGTTCAGCGTCAAGAATGCACAGAGGAAACAGCCTCATCACCTGGTGACAGGTGAAGGATGTGTGAATGTGCTGTTGCAGCTCGAAAGCAAAAGGAAACTGACACTGAGTAACAAAGGGGCAGTGAAAGAGAGCAATGAAAACACATGGGGGCAGGGGACACCTCCTGGGACTCGGGCACCAAGGAGCCCCTGAGTGACATTGTGACAAAGCCACCCAGGGAAAAGGGCACTGCTGTAAAATTTACTTTTGGACCCTCCTTCCCCCCTAATTCTGTGGCATTCTCATTTCTTCCCACATCATCTTCAGCCTATGGTAGGAGGCAGGGGTGTCCAATCACTTAATCACCTATAGTATTGCACTTTTACTATGTAAAAGAGAAATTGTTTTTTAAATATTGGGCAGACTATGGCATAAATCGAACAATTCCTGAAAGAAACAGTTGACCTGTCTGATGCTAAGTGGAAAACAGAAGGCTTGAAAAGGATTCTTTGTGGATTTCTGCTCAGGCACCTTTAGAGATCTTGGAGAATGAAATGGCATCAAGCCTTGTGCACAGGAAAGTCAAGAGATCAGACTGGTTCTCATTTCCTTCACCATGTTACACTCCCAGGTTTAGACTGAAGCCTCCACATCAGCTACAAACCATGCATCGTGTTTGTATTTTTAAAGGGGCTTTGTGATAGATCCCCTCAACTTATTTAGAAATGAACATGAGTTTTCTTAGATAAACATTTTTACTAGGGATAATAGTCAGTCTTTTCCATGAAAGCTTTGGAGATGAAGCCTAATTTAAACATAGCAGTTGCCAAGAGCAAGTCATATAAGATGGAGAATGAAGGAATATTCCCTCATCAGTTCATTCTTTTCCGCATGGACTAGGGCAGCTCCACGTTTTTATGCTGTGCACTTGATGGGAAAAACCTTTCCTGGACAGATTTTATCTAGGATTATGCAAAGTTGTATTAATATTACTTAAAATGGAATTTTTTTTTTTTGAGACGAAGTCTCACCCTGTCGCCCAGGCTGGAGTGCAGTGGCATGATCTTGGCTCACTGCAACCTCTGCCTCCTGGGCTCAAGCAATTCTCCTGCCTCAGGCTCCCGAGTAGCTGGGACTACAGGTGAGCGCCACCACGCCCAGCTAATATTTGTATTTTTAGTAGAGATGGGGTTTCACCATCTTGGCCAGGCTGGTCTCGAACCCCTGACCTCAGGTGATCCACCTGCCTCGGCCTCCCGAAGGGCTGGGATTACAGGTGTGAGCCACCGCGCCCGGCCTGGAAATTGTTTCAGAGGTTTTTTGGAGTACTGTATTTAGGCTAAAGGAACAGAAGTCACTTAGAAGGCACAGTGTGATGACATTGAACATATTACCCCGCCTGGGTGCTCCATTTACCTACCTCAGTGCTTCCTTTCCAGAGAGTTAGGACTCTACACGAGTGATGGATTCACAGAGGACAGAGTGACTATCCTAGAACTCACATGCAACAGTCAAGTGTCTCTCACACTGATGGGCGCTCTCAGAGTGAACACCCACACTGCCGGTACCTGCTGGATGCTGCAGAATGAGCATGTGCACAAGGGGCCAGGGGAAGTGACCTGAAAGTTATGCAGTGGGTGAGGGCATTCCCTAAACCCTGAGCCTGCCTTATTTGTCCCCTGACCACAAACAGTTAAGATTTGTATTTTATTTCTTCATGCCTTATTGGATTTTCCTTTCAAACTACAAAAGTAATGCATGTTGCTTGTTGCAACAAACAAAATCAACAATTCACCACAGGGAATCACAAAGTCAAAGACAATGATTTCTTCCTCCTCCTCTAGTTATCTACCCCCTTCTCCAAGGTAATCAATGTTGAAACCTTAGTATACAGCCTTCCATACTGTTTTCTATACTCATAAAAATGCACATAGCCACAGAGACACATAGAACACGCACTCCACACACACACTCCAAATGTAAAGACTTCTTTTCCATTCATACATGGTGCTCACTCAGCAAATTGTCTTTTTCAATTAACGCTATATTATTACATTCCTTGATGCATAATATTCTACAGATGGATGCACTAAGATGCATTCCATTTTCCGTGTACTGACAGTTGATACACAAGTTTCTCTATTTTGTCAGCACTATAAATAATGCTTCAGTAAACAACCTTATTCACCTAGACTTATAAACTGATGGCATTATATCGGTAGGATAGATTCCCCAAAGGTGCTTTTCTGTGTCAAAATGCAAGCGTATTTTTACTTTAATAGGTTCTGTCAAGTTGTTTTCTAAAACCATTGAAGCAATTTATAGTTGTTTGAGTAATGTGAACAGAATGTCCCTTTCTCCTTTCCTAACAGCACGGGATATTATCACTGTTCTAATTCATTGTTGTTAAGATTTTGAAAGGAATTATTACCTGTTTTTTAGAAAGAACTATTTTGAGTCACACACAGAGAAAGACCTACAAAGTGCACTTTTCTGAGCCCTTGTCTCCAAGTGGGTTGCACTCAATCTTTTCCAGAGACAAGCTGTTGCAACAGAGCGAGGTTAAACACGCATGTTCCTCTGGGTCCCAGGTCCTGGCCTTCCTGCCCAGAAACCTGGGTTCAAAACAGAGTCCTCGTCCCTTCTCTCCCTGCTGACCTTGAGCAGACCTTGCCTGGATGTTGCATGTGGTCCCTGTGCTCACCACACTGAACTGTTCTGTGCCACTTTCAGAATGGACAGACTCAGTCAGTGTCTCAGTCAGCTTGACTGCATAACAAGTGATCCTGAACTGGCTCTTAAACAATGGACATTTATTCTCACATAAGGCAGGAAGTCTGAGACCAAGATGCCAGCACAGTTGGGTTCTGGTGTGTGTTCTCTTCCAGCCTGCAGACTTCTGACTTCTCAAAGTGGTAAGAGGAGGAACTAGCTCTCTGGCCTCTTCTTAAAAGAACACTAATCCCATTCATTAGGGCTCCACCTTCCTGATCTAATTATCTCCCAAAGGTCTCACCTCCTAATACCATTATACTGGGGATTGGATTTCAACATAAGAAGTTCAGGTGTGTGCAAACTTGAGACCATAACTGTCGGTGTATCTTATTTATCTCTGTAGCCTCAGTGCTTTGCCCAGAGTATGGGACAGAGTACATGTTCAATGTATATTAAATTGGTTATAATATAAAGTAAGTTATGTCACAGCAATGAGTTCCTTAGTAAATCAAATAACATGCAAGAATGCTCACAAGAAGTAGTCAAAATGGCAGAATGAAGCTGGATCACATCATTTCCCTTCCCTAAGTATCTAGTAAATAAATAAATACCCAGTAAAAAATTTCTTTTTTTTTTTTTTTTTTTTTTTTGAGACGGAGTTTCGCTCTGTCCGCCCAGGCTGGAGCGCAGTGGCGCGATCTCGACTCACTGCAAGCTCCGCCTCCCGGGTTCACGCCATTCTCCTGCCTCAGCCTCCCGAGTAGCTGGGACTACAGGCGCGCGCCACCATGCCCGGCTAATTTTTGTATTTTTAGTAGAGACGGGGTTTCACCGTGTCAGCCAGGATGGTCTCGATCTCCTGACCTCGTGATCCGCCCGTCTCGGCCTCCCAAAGTGCTGGGATTACAGGCGTGAGCCACCGCGCCCGGCCAAAAAATTTCTATAACAATAAGCAAACAAGGAAAGGGATCCAACCTAATGTACCATGTTATACCTATAAAAAAAGTCCTATACATAAGAGAGACAAGAAAAAGAAAAAAATCCCAATACAGCTCAGTGTGGCCCCACATCTTGTTCCATCCCCATTCTGCCCTCCCCAGAAGCAGTAATGAGGAAAGGTGAATCACCAACATCCTTACAATTCTCCCTAATAACTTGCAATTTGGAGCAGCACTTTAAAATTCGCAAGGAGAAAATTAAAACTCCTATTTATTATCCAGACAGCTACAAGAGAAGAGAAAGGCCTCCAGGATATGCCACTTTACAGAATCCTATATGTTTTTTATTATTGTCGTAAAAAATAAACACCCAACATTAAATTGGCCATTGTAGTTATTTTAAATATGCAGTTCAGTGGTGTTAAGTATATTCACATGTTGTGAAACAGTTATCTAGAATTTTTTCATCTTTCAAAACTGAAACTTCACACTCATGAATACTCATTCCCCACTCCCCACCCGTCCTTGACAATCCCCTTTCTACTTTCTATGTCTATGATTTTGATGACTTTAGATGTTTCATATGAGTGGACTTTTGCAGCATTTGTCCCTTTGTGACTGACTTATTTTGCTTAGAATAATGCTCTTGAGGTTCATCTATGCAGTATCCTGTGAAACAATTTTCTCTTTTTTAAGGCTGCATAATATTTCATTATATGTACACAAGGATTGCAATGTCTCCATATCTTCAGAAACACCATTTTCAGTTCTTTTGATGGTGGCCATTCTAATGAGTATGAAGTAATATCTCATTGTGGTTTTGATTTGCATTTCTCTTATAATTAGTGATGTTGAACATCTTTACATATGCTTGTGGGTCACTGTATATGTTTTTTGGGAAAACGTGTATTCGAGTCTTTTGTCCACTTTTAAATCAAGTTATTCGCATTTCTGTCACTGAGCTGCAGAAGTTCCATATGTATGGACATATATATATTAACCTTTTATCAGATAGAAGGTTTTCAAATATTTTCTTCCTCTCCATAGATTGCCTTTTCACTTCCTTGATTGTTTCCTTTGATGTTCAGACATCTATAAGTTTGATATGGTTCAGTATATCTATTTTTGCCTTCATTGCCTGTGATTTCATGTCATATCCAAGAAAGTATTGCCAAAGTCAATGTCCTGAAGTTTTCCCCCTATTTTTTCTTCCAAGATTTTAATAGTTTTTAATCTTATGTTTAGGTCTGTAATCCATTTAATGTTTTGCATATGGTATACTCAAAACTTCACCGTTTGCACATGAATATCCGTTTTTCCCAATACCATTTGTTGAAGAGACTGTCCTTTCCTCATGGAGTAGTCTTGGCACCCTTATTGAAAACGATTTGGCAATAAAGGCAAAATTTCTGAGTTCTCCATTCTGTTCCATTGGTCAACACATCTGTTGCTTCATAGTTGTTTTCAAATAAAGAAATGTTAGACCTCCAACTGTATTATAGTTTTTCAAAATTGTAAGACTGGCTATTTGAGGTCCCTTGAGATACCATATGAACTTTATGGTTTTTTTCTATTTCTGTAAAAAATGTTATTGGTATTTTGATAGAGATTGCATGGAATCTGTAGATCACTTTGGGTATTGTGGACATTTTTTAAATTTTTGTGAGTACATACTATAGTAGGTGTATATATTTCTGGGATACACTAGATATCTTGATATAGGCATGTAATGCATAATGACCACATCAGAGTAAATGTGGTATCCATCACCTCAAGCATTTTTCCTTTGTGTTATAAACAATCAAATTATATGCTTTTAGTTATTTTCAAGTGTACAATTAAATTAACTGTTAAGTAAACTCTGCCAGGCACAGAAAGACAAACAGTTAACAGTTTTTTTCTGTTTGCTTAGGATGACTGGCTTTTCTGGGTCTTTTGTGGTTCCATATAAATTTTAGGATTGCTTTTTCTATTTACATGAAGAAAGTCATTAGTATTTTGATAGGAATTGCATCGAATCTTTAGATTGCATTGGATAGTATGACATTTGAACAATATTGATTCTTTCAATCTATGAACATAGAATATCTTTCATTTTTTGTGTCCTATTCAATTTAATCAATGTTTTATAGTTTTCATTGTAGAGACCTTTCACTTCTTTAGTCAAGTTAATTCTTAGGTATTTAATTTTATTTATGGTTATTGTATTTATTGGTTTCTTGTTCACTGTTGGCATATAGAAATGCTACTAATTTTTGTGTGTTGATTTTGTATCCTGAAACTTGACTGAATTTTTTTTATCAGTTCTAATAGTTTTCTGGTGGAGTCTTGATGTTTTTCCAAATACAAGATTATAACATCAGCAAACAAGGATAATTTGACTTCTTCCTTTCCAATTTGGATGCCCTTTATTTTTTCTCTTGTCTGATTGCTCTAGCTAGGACTTGCAGTACTGTGTTGAATAACTGTGGTGACACAGCATCCTTGTCATGTTCCAGATCTTAGAGGAGAGGATTTCAGTTTTTCTCTATTCAGTATGATACTAGCTGTGGGTCTGCCATATATGGCTTTTCTTATGTTAAGGTATATTTCTTCTATATCCTGTTTTTTGATGGTTTTTATCCTGAAGAGATGTTGAATTTTATCAAATTCTTTTTCACTTCAATTGATCATATGGATCACATGGCTTTTGTCCTTCATTCTGTTGATATGATGTATCACATTGATGGATTAGTGTATGTTGAACTATCCTTGCATCCCTGGGATAAATCCCAATTGGTCGTGATGAATGATCTTTCTAATGTATTTTTTAATTTGTTTGCTGGTATTTTGTTGAGGATTTTTGCATCAATATTCATCAGAGATATTGGCTTGAAATTTTCTTATTTTGATGTGTCTTTGGTTTTAGTATTATGGTAATACTGGCTTCATAGAATGATTTTGGAAGTATTTCTTCCTTCATTTTTTGGAATAGGTTGGTAGGATTGGTATTAGTTTTTTAAAATTTTTGGTAAATTCATCAGTGAAGCTATCGAGTCCCAAGCTTTTTGTTGCTGGGAGGCTTTTTATTACAGTTTTAATCTTGTGACTTGTTATTGGTCTGTTCAGGTTTTGACTTTCTTCGTGGTTCAATCTTGGTAGGTTGTATGTGTCTAGGAATTTGTCCATTTCCTTTAGACTTTCCAATTTATTGGCATATAGTTGCTCATAGTAGCCACAAATAATGATCCTTTGAATTTCTGTGGTATCAGTTGTAATGTCTCCTTTTTCATCTCTGATTTTATTTATTTGGGCCTTCTCCCTTTTTTCTTTGTTTTTCTGGCTAAAGGTTTGTCAATTTTCTTTATCTTTTTAAAAAAACTTTTTGTTTTGTTGATCTTTTGTATTGTTTTCTTTTATTTCAATTTTATTTATTTTTGCTCTGATCTTTATGATTTCTTTTCTTCTACTAATATTGTGTTTGGTTTGCTCTTGTTTTCCTGGTTCTTTCTGATGCATCATGGGGTTATTTGAAGTTTTTCTTCCTTTTTGATGCAGGCACTTATGGATACAAATTTCCCTTTTACTACTGCTTTCACCGTATTCCATATGTTTTGGTATGTTGTGTTTCCATTATCATTTGTTTCAAGCAAATTTTCAATTTCCTTCTTAATTTCTTCATCATATATACTTATAATTGTTATATTCTGTTGCAGGATTGATCCCTTTATCATTATATAATAACCTTTTTTGTCTCTTCTTACAGGTTTTGTTTAGAAATCTATTTTGTCTTATGTAAGTATACCTACTACTGTCCTTTTTTGGTTTCAATTGGCATAGAACACCTTTTTCTATCCTTTTATTTTAAGTGTATGTTTATCTTTATAGGTGAAATGTGTTTCCTGCAGGCAAGAGACCATTGGATCTTGTTTTTTCCATCCATTCAACTATTCTCTGTCTTTTTGACTGGAATGTTTAGTCCATTTACATTCAATGCTATTATTGGTAAGTAGAGACTTGCTCCTGCCATCTTGTTATTTGTTTCCTAGTCGTTTTGTGGTGTCTCTTCCTTCTTTCCTTCATTCCTATCTCCCTTTTAGTGAAGTTGATTTTCTCTGGTGTTATTATTTAATTTCTTGCTTTTAATTTTTTGTGTATCTGTTTTGTGTTTTTCAATTTATGGTTACTGTGAGTCTTGCAAACAACCCATTATTTAAAACTGATGACAACACTGATTACATAAGCAACATACATGCAAAAAGAAAACTAATCACAGCTCTACACTTTAACTACATCCCCCTACTTATTAACTCTTTGTTGCTTGTATTTATGTCTCATTATATACTCTCGATGTCTTGAAAATTTGTTGTAGTTATTGTTTTTGATTCATTCATTATTTAGTCTTTCTACTTAAGAGCAGTTTATGCATTACAATTACACCATTATAATATTCTTTGTTTTCCTATGGGCTTACTATTACCAGTGAGTTTTGTACCTTCAGATGATTTCTTCTTGCTCACTAACATCCTTTTCTTTTCTGCTTGAAAAACTCCCTTTGCATTTCTCCTACTCATTAACATCCTTTTCTTTCTGCTTGAAAAACTCCCTTTCCATTTCTTGTAGAACTGCTCTGATATTGATGAAATCCCTCAGCTTTTGTTTGTCCAAGAAGGTACGTATTTCTCCTTAATGCTTGAAGGACATTTTTGCTGAATATACTATTCTAGGGTAAAAGTTTTTTCCATCAACACCTTAAACAGTCATGTCGCTCTCTCCTGGCCTGAAATGTTTCCACTGAGAAGTCTGCTGCCAGACATATTGGACCACCATTGTATGCTATGTGTTCATTTTCCTTGCTGCTTTTAGGATCCTTTCTTTATCTTTGACCTTTTGGAGTTCGATTATTAAATGCCTTGAGATAGTCTCCTTTGGGTTAAATTGGATTGGTGTTCTATAACCTTCTTGTATTTGAATATTGGTATCTTTCTCTAGGTTTAGGAAGTTCTCTGTTATTATTCCTTTGAATAAACTTTCTACCTCTATCTCTTTCTCTACATTTTCTTTAAGGCTAATACCTTTTCTTTAAGGCTAATACCTTTTTTTTTAAACCAATAACTTTAAGGCCAATAACTCTTTCTTTAAGGCCAATAATTTGCCATTTGGAGGCTATCTTCTAGATCTTGTGGGTATACTTCATTCTTTTTTATTCTTTTTTGTTTTGTTGCTTCTGATTGTGTATCTTCAAATAGCCTGTCTTCACGCTCATGAATTCTTTCTTCTATTTGATCAATTCTGCCTTTAAGAGACTCCAGTGCTTTAGTGAAATCAAGTGCCCTTAGGTGAAGCCCTTGATTCAGGTGAATTCAGGCCTTTTTCAGGCAAGGAGATGCTACCCTTCTCCAACAAAAAGGAGAGTGCAACTTTTGCGTTTTAAAAAGAATTTGTGGTTTAAAGAATCTCAGGCTTATCTAGTGTATTAGTTTGTTCTCATGCTGCTGATAAAGACATACCCAAGACTGGGTAATTTATAAAGAGAAAGGTTTAATGGACTTACAGTTCTACTTGGCTGGGGAGGCCTCACAATAATGGTGGTAGGCAAAAGGCATGTCTTCCATGGTGGCAAGCAAGAAAGAATGAGATCCAAGTGAAAGGAGAAAACCTCTTATAAAACCATCAGATCTTATGAGACTTATTCACTACCACAACAACAGTATGAGGGAAACTGCCCTCATCATTCAACTATCTTCTACCAGGTCCCTCCCACAACACATGGGAGTTATGAGAGCTATAATTCAAGATGAGATTTGGGTGAGGACAAAGCCAAACCATATAATTCCACTGATGACCCCTCCCAAATCTCATGTCCTCACATTTCAAAACCAATCAGGCCTTCCCAACAGTCCTCCAACGTCTTTTCCTGCTGACTCATTTCAGCATTAATTCAAAAGCCAATAGTCAAAGTCTCATCTGAGACAAGGCAAGTCCCTTCTTCCTATGAGCCTGTAAAATTAAAAGCAAGTTAGTTACTTCCTAGATAAAATGGGGGTACAGGCATTAGGTAAATACAGCCATTCCAAATGGAAGAAATTGGCCAAAACAAAGCGGTTACAGGCCATATACAAGTCCAAAATCCAGTTGGGCAATCAAATCTTAAAGCTCAAAAATGATCCCTTTGACTCCATGTTTCACATCCAGTTTACACTGATACAAAAGGTGGGTTTCCATGGTCTTGGGCAGCTGCGCCCCTGTGGCTTCAGGCTACAACCTCCCTCCCAGCTGCTTTCACGGGCTGGTGTTGAGTGTCTGTGGCTTTTCCAGGTGCATGGTGTAAGCTGTCAGTGGATTACCTTTCTGGGGTCTGGAGGATGCTGGTCCTCTACTCACAGTTCGACTAAGCAGTGCCCCAGTGGGGACTCTGTATGAGGGCTTCGAGTCCACATTTCCCATCTGCACTGCCTTAGCAGAAGTTTTCCATGAGAGCCTCACCCCTGCAGCAAACTTTTCCCTGTACATTCAGGCATTTCCATACATCCTCTGAAATCTAGGTGGAGATTCCCAAATGGCAATTCTTGACTTCTGTGTACTCACAGGCTCAATACCACATGGAACCTGCCAAGGCTTGGGGCTTGCACCCTCTGAAGCTATAAGCTGAGCTGTACCTTGGCCCCTTTGAGCCATGGCTGAAAGGCTGAGATGCAGGGCACCAAGTCCCTAGGCTGCACACAACAGGGAAGTCCTTCACCCAGCCCATGAAACCATTTTTTCCTCCTAGGCCTCCAGGCCTGTGGTGGGAGGGGCTGCCTCAAAGATCTCTGACATGCCCTTGAGACATTTTCCCCATTGTCTTAGCATTAACATTTGGTTCCCTGTTACTTATGTGAATTTCTGCAGCCAGCTTAAATTTCTTCTGGGAAAATGCGTTTTTCTTTTCTATTGCTTCATCAGGCTGCAAATTTTCCAATTTTTTTTCTTTTTTCTTTTTCTTTTTTTTTCTTTTCTTTTTTTTTTTTTTTTTGAGATGGAGTCTTGCTCTGTCGCCCAGGCTGGAGTGCAGTGGTGCAATCTCAGCTCAATGCAACCTCCACCTCCTGGGTTCAACCAATTCTCCTGCCTCAGCCTGCCAAGTAGCTGGGACTATAGGCATGTGCCACCACACCTGGCTAATTTTTATATTTGTAGTAGAGATGGGGTTTCACAATATTGGCCAAGCTGGTCTTGAACTCCTGACCTCATGATCCACCCACCTTGGCCTCCCAAAGTGCTAGGATTACAGGCGTGAGCCACTGTGCCAGGTCATATTTTTCAAACTGTTATGCTCTGTTTCCCTTTTAAAACTGAATTCTTTTAACAGCACCCAAACCACCTCTTGAATGCTTTGTTGCTTAGAATTTACTTCTGCCAGATACCTTAAATCATCTCCCTCAAGTTCAGAGTTCCACAAATCTATAGGATGGAGCAAAATGCCACCAGTCTCTTTGCTTAAACATGGCAAGAATCACCTTTACTTTAGTTTCCAACAAGTTCCTCATCTCTATCTGAGACCACCTCAGCCTGGATTTGATTGTGCATATTATCAGCATTTTGGTCAAAGCCATTCAACAAGTCTTCAGGAAGTTCCAAACTTTCCCACATCTTCCTGTCTTCTTCTGAGCCCTCCAAACTGTTCCAACGTCTGCCTGTTACCCAGTTCCAAAGTCACCTTCACATTTTCATGTATCTTTACAGCAGCACCCCACTCTACCAGTACCAATTTACTGTATGAGTCCATTTTCACACTGCTGATCAAGACATACCTGAGACTGGATAATTCATAAAGAAAAAGAGGTTTAAAAGACTCAGAATTCCATGTGGCTGGGAAGGCCTCACAATCATGGTAGAAGGTGAAAGGCATGTCTTACATGGTGGCAGTCAAGAGAGAATGAAAGCCAAGTGATAGAAGAAACTTCTTATAAAACCACTAGATTTCATGAGATTTATTTACTACTACAAGAACAGTATGGGGGAAACTGGCCCCATGATTCAATTATCTCCCACTGGGTCCCTCTCACAATATGTGGGAGTTATGAGGCTATAAGTCAAGAAGAGATTTGGGTGGGGACATAGCCAAACCATATCATTCAGTGTCCCCCTCCCAGGCTTCTGGTTCTCATGATTTTTCTAATTAGTGACCTGTATGGACTGCATTCTGTCTTTTTTGCAGCCCAACACTTTACGGTGTGATTGTGAACTTCATCTACAAAGTTTATCGTAAAACTACAGGAGGTGAAAATCTTCCAAACTAATGTTATCAAGGCCCTTTGGCTTTCACAGAGTGTCTTAAGTTAGAATTTTGATGCCCTGACCCTACTACTTATTTTTTGAAATGTTTCCAATGTCATTAATGAGGCTGGACCACTCCACAGTCCTTATAAACATTAGCTTTCCTAATACTACACATTGCAATCCCCACACATTCCAATGCCTCATCTTCCAACTGTACCTTATTCCGATTAACCACAGGCAATTCCGTGGATGATAGGGATTGAGAACACCATTCCTCTTACCACCAGCACTGGGATCTTTCTTGCCAGTAATGAGCTCAAAAATACCAAAACATCATTTTGACAGGCTGTTTTCCTAATAATCTAAATATTTTAGGAGTGCCATTTCTAGTGCCAATATTTTAGAATGAATTCAATTAGTTATTTAGAATGAATTCAATTAATTTTAGAGCATAAAAATGGAGGTGGGGCTGATGAGCTATTACTATTTGAGGAAGTACAATTCCAGAAGCTGGAGTAAGGAATACAACAAATGGAGTGGGCAAGGTAGGAGGAGGCAGTGTACAGGTGAGTTGTCAGGTGAGCCACTGCTAAGTGTGAATGCTTGCTTGATTTATGGGAATGTGACCCCAAGAAGCATGAAAATTCCATCTTAAGATCATACTGCTAGAGACTGTGGAGAAAGTAGGAATAATTTAACTCTAATTTCCCATTAGTTAAAAAGTCTTCCCCTGGGTGTTAACTCCTCTGCACTTTTGAGTCAACTCTGTGCTAAGTGGGTTCCCATAGTGAAAGCCACAGGGAAACCCAGATTGGGAGAAGAAATGCCCAGCGTAGCAGGTTGTATCTTTATAAAATTGCTGTGAGACAATGCAAGGCTGCAGCAGGGGACAAGTGAGGCTGTAAAGATCTAAGTAGTGCATAAGAGGTATCTCATTCTCTAATCTTTCCTAGGCTTTGAGCAAATTTATAGAAACTAGTTTCTAAAGGAGGAATAAATATTAATCTGAATTTCAACTCTTCCGTAACATTTTCTCTCTTGGATAGAATTAAAAGCTATTAAATGTAATACTTTTAAAATTAAAAATAATATGGTCTGAATCCATACTTAGAAATTTCTTTCTCTTCCTCTTCATCCTTCTATTATATATCTGTGAAGAGAAATATCTGAGATGACATTTACCAAATAACAACACTATTTTTGAGGATTAGAGAAAATTTATTCTTTATACTTTTTTTTATTGCCTGAGTGTTTTATAGTGAGCATGTATCATTTTTATAAATATAATAAAGTTGTCCTTCAAATAATAATGTTAGCACCATAGTCTTTGATGTCACCATGGGAGAGACTTTGTTCAATTTCTCTACAACAAGTAAATTCACCTAACTTCACCCAGATCAGGAGAAATTCACATCATAATTATAAAAAAAGGCAGGCCGGGTGTGATGGTTCATGCTTGTAATCCCAGCACTTTGGGAGGCTGAGGTGGCAGATCCCAAGGTCAGGAGATTGAAACCATCCTGGCTAACATGGTGAAACCCTGTCTCTACTAAAAATACAATTAGCCTGGCACAGTGGCGGGCTCCTGTAGTCCCAGCTATTCAGGAGGCTGAGGCAGGAGAATGGCATGAACCCAGGAGGTGGAGCTTGCAGTGAGCTGAGATTGCACCACTGCACTCCAGCCTGGGTGACAGAGCGAGACTCCATCTCAAAAAAAAAAAAAAAAAAGGCAATGCTGCCATGTAAATACTCTGACAAATGAGCAAGCTAAGCATTAAAGTGGCACTGTAGCTTCTTCAATGTTGCAAAGCTAGTTAGTGACATCAGTAGAATTATAACCCACTTACTCCATTTATATATTAACCCCAACAGACAACAGAATTTTAGTATTTTACCCAAAACATGTAGGAAGTGCACAAAATGCTCAATAACAAGTAGAACAAAGATGGACATTTGATATGGATTGGCTGTGTCCTCACCCAAATCTCATCGTGAATTGTAGTTCCCATAATCCCCACGTGTCATGGGAGGGACCTGGTGGGAGGTAATTGAATAAAGGGGGTGGTTACCCCTGTGCAGTTTTCAAGATAGTGAGTTCTCACCAGATCTGATCATTTTATAAGAGGCTTTACCCCTTTATTCGGCATATTAGTCTGTTCTCACACTGCTAATAAAGACATACCCGAGACTGGATAATTTATAATGGAAAGAGGTTTAATGGACTCACAGTTAGTTCCACATGGCTGGGGAGGCCTCACAATCATGGTGGAAGACGAATGAGGAGCAAACTCACATCTGATATGCTGGCAGGCAAGAGAGTGTATGCAGGAGAACCCCCCTTTATAAAATCATCAGATCTCATGAGACTTAGTCACTGTCACAAGAACAGCATGGGTAAGACCTGCTCCTGTGATTCAATTACCTCCAATTTGGTCCCTCCCACAACATGTGGGAATTATGAGAGTTACATACAATTAAAGATGAGATTTGGTGGGGACATAGTCAAACCATATCATTCTGCCCTTGATCGACCCAAGTCTCATGTCTTCGCATTTCAAAACCAATCATTCCTTCCCAACAGTCCCCCAACATCTTTACTCATTTGAGCATTTACTCAAAAGTCAACAGTCCAAACTCTCACCTGAGACAAGGCAAGTCCCTTCTGCCTGTGATCCTGTAAAATCAAAAGCAAGTTAGTTACTTTCTAGATACAATAGGAGTATAGGCATTGGGTAAATATACCCATTCCAAATGGAAGAAATTGTCCAAAAGAAAAGGGCTACAGGCTCCAAGAAAGTCTGAAATCCAGTGGGCCAGTCATTAACCTTAAAGCTCCAAAATAATCTCCTTTGACACCATGTCTTACATACAGGTCATGCTGATGCAAGAGGTGGGCTCCTATGGCCTTGGGCAGATTCTCCCCTGTGGCTTTGAAGGGCACAGCCTCCTTCCTAGTTGCTTTCTTAGCTGGCATTGAGTGTCAATGGGTTTTCCAGGTGCATGTTGCAAACTGTAAGTGGATGTACCTTTCTGGGGTCTGGAGGATGCTGGCCCTCTTCTCAGAGCTCTACTAGGCTATAATCCAGCAGGGACCCTGTATGGGAGCTCTGACCCCACATTTCCCTTCCACACTGTCCTAGCAGAGGTTCACGAGAGCACTGCCTCTGCAACAAACTTTTGGCTGGATATCCAGACATTTCTATACATCCTCTGAAATCTAGGAAGAAGTTCCCAAACTTTTATTCTTGACTTCTGTGCCCCCACAGGCTCAAAACCCCAAGTAAGCTGCCAAGGCTTGGGGCTTACATCCTCTGAAGCCATGGCCTGAGCTGTACCTTGGCCCCTTTTAGCCACAGCTGGAGCTGAAGCACCTTGGATGCAGGGCATTTTTCCCTCCTAGGCCTCCAGGCCTGTGATGGGAGAGGCTGCTGTGAAGACCTTTGACATGTCCTGAAGACATCTTCCTCATTGTCTTGGTGATTAACATTTGGCTCCTTGTTACTTATGCAAATTTCTGCAGCTGGCTTAAATTTCTTCTCAGAAAATGGGGTTTTCTTTTCTATCTCTTCATCAGGCTGTAAATTTTCCAAACATTTACTCTCTGCTTTCCTTTCAAACATCAGTTCTAATTCCAAACCGTATCTTTGGGAATACATAAAACTGAATGCTTCTAATAGCACACAAGCCACCTCTTGAATGCTTTGCTGCTTAGAAATTTCTTCTGCCAGATGCCCTAACTCATCTATCTCAAGGTGAATGTTCCACAAATCTCTAGGGCAGGCGCAAAATGCCACTAGTCTCTTTGCTATAACACCTTTACTCCAGTTCCTAACAAGTTCCTCATCTCCACCTGAGACCACCTCAGCCTGGACTTTATTGTCCTTATCACTACCAGCATTTTTGTCAAAGACATCCAACACGTCCTTAGGAAGTTTCAAACTTTCTCAGATCTTCCTGTCTTCTTCCAAGCCCTTCAAACTGTTCCAACCTCTGATTGTTACCCAGTTCCAAAGTCACTTCCACATTTCTGGGTATCTTTTCAGCACGCCCCACTCTACTGGTACCATTTTACTGTATTAGTTTGTTCTCACACTGCTAATAAAGACATACCTGAGACTGAAGAATTTATAATGAAAAAGAGGTTTAATGGGCTCACAGTTCCACATGGCAGAGGAGGCCTCACAATCATGGCAGAAAGTGAATGAAGAGCAAAGTGATGTCTGGCAACAGAACATGTGCTGGGGAACTCCCCTTTATAAAACCATCAGATCTCATGAGACTTATTCTCTATAACAAGAACAGCATGGGAAAGACCTTCCCCCATGATTCAATTACTTCCCATGATGTGGAAATTATGGGAGCAAGTTTCAAGATGAGATTTGGGTGGGGGCACAGCCAAATCATATTACTTGGCACTTCTGCTTCCTACTGCCATGTGAAGAAGAACATGTTTGCTTCCCCTTCTGCCATAATTGTAAATTTCCTGAGGCCTCCCCAACCATACAAAACTGTGATCAATTAAACTTCTTTCCTTTGTAAGTTACCCAGTCTCAGGCAGTTAATTACAGCAGCGTGAGAACAGACTAATACAATAAACTGGTACTGGGTAGTGGGGCACTGCTGTAAGCGTACCTGAAAATGTGGAAGTGACTTTGGAACTGGGTAGCAGGCAGAAATTGGAACAATTTGAAGGGCTCAGAAGAAGACAGGAAAATGTGAGAAAGTCTGGAACTTCCTAGAGGCTTGGAGGGCTCAAAAGACAGCAAGATGTGGGAAAGTGTGGAACTTCCTAGAGACTTGTCAAATGGCTTTGACCAAAGTGCTGATAGTGATATGGACAATGAAGTCCAGGTTCAGGTGGTCTCAGATGGAGATGAGGAACTTGTTGGGAACTGGAATAAAGGTAACTCTTGCTATGTTTCAGCAAAGAGACTGGTGGCATTTTGCCCCTGCCCTAGAGATCTGTGGAACTTTTGACTTGAGAGAGAAGATTTAGGGTATCTGGTGGAAGAAATTTATAAGCGACAAAACTTCAAAAGAAGATTATAAAAGTTTGAAAACTTTGCAGTCTGATGATGCAATAGAAAAGAAAAACCCATTTCCTGGGGAGAAATTAAAGCCAGCTGCAGAAATTTGCATAAGTAATGAGAAGCCTAATGTTAATCACCAAGACAATGGGGGAAAATGTCTCCAGGGCATGTCAGAGGTCTACACAGCAGCCCCTCCCATCACAGGCCAGGAGGCCTAGGAGGGAAAATTGGTTTCATAGGCCAGGCCCGGGGCCTTGCTGCTTTGTGGAGTCTCAGAACTTGGTGCCCTTCATTCCAGCCATGGTTAAAAAGGGTTAACATACAGCTCAGGCCATTGCTTCATGGAATGCAAACCCCAAGCCTTGGCAGCTTACACAAGGTGTTGGGCCTGTGGGTTCACAGAAGTCAAGAATTGAGGACTGGAAACCTCCAACCAGATTTCAGAGGATGTATGTAAACACCTGGATGTCAAGGCAGACGTTTGATGCAGGGGTGGAGCCCTCATGGAGGAACTTTACTAGGGCAGTGTGGAAGGGAAATGTGGGGTCGGAGCCCCCACACAGAGTCCCTACTGGGGCACCACCTAGTGGAGCTGTGAGAAGAGGGCCACCTTCCTCCAGAACCCAGAATGGTAGCTCCACCAACAGCTTACACTCTGCATCTAGAAAAGCCAGGGACACTCAACATCAGCCCATGAAAGCAGCCAGGAGAGGGCCTATACCCTGCAAAGCCACAGGGTTGGAGCTGCCCAAGGCCATGGGGGCTCAACTCTTGCATCAGCGAGATCTGCATGTGAGATATGAAATCAAAGGAGATCATTTTGGAACTTTAAGTTTTAATTAACTTCCCTATTGGATTTCATACTTGCATGGTGCCTGTAGCCTCTTTGTTTTGGCTAATTTATCCCATTTGGAACAGGTGTATTTACCCAATGCCTGTACCCCCATTGTATGTAGGACATAACTAACTTGCTTTTGATTGTACAGGGTCATAGGCAGAAGGGACTTGCCTTGTCTCAGATGTGACTTTGGACTTGGACTTTTCGGTTAAGGCTGGAATGAGATAAGACTTTGGGGGACTGTTGGAAAAGCATGATTGTGTTTTGAAATGTAAAGACATGAGACTTGGGAGGGGCCAGGGGTGGAATAATATGGTTTGGCTGTGACCCAAATCTCATCTTGAATTGTAGTTCCCATAATCCCCATGTGTCATGGGAAGGCCCCAGTGCGAGGTAATTTAATCATGGGAGCAGTTACTCTCATGTTGTTCTCATGATAGTGAGTGAGTTCTCACAAGATCTGATGGTGCTATAAGGGACTTTTCCCACTTTGCGCTACACATCTCCTCCCTGTCGCCATGTGAAGAAGGGTGTGTTTGCTTCCCCTTCCACCATGATTGCAAGTTTCCTGAGGCCCCTCCCCCTGCAATGCTGAACTGTGAGTCAATTAAACCTATTTCATTTATAAACTACCCAGTTTTCAGTTATGGCTTTATTAGCAGCATGGGAACAGACTAATACAACATTGTATAATGATAAAAGAATCAATTCATCAGGAAGATTGAACAATCATAAATGTATATATCAACACGAAAGCACCTAAATATATAAAACAAATATTGACAGAACTGGAGAAATAGACAGCAGCACAACGATATCAGAGACTTCAGTAGCGCACTTTGAATAATGTGTAGAACACCCAAACATAAAATCGATAAGCAAAAAGTGGACTCGAACAAGACTATAGATAAATGGACCTAAGAGACATTTACAGAACATTCCATCCAACAGCCGCAGAATACACATTCTTCTCTAGTGCACACAGAACAGTCTCCAGGGTAGATCAAGTGTTAGGCCACAAAACAAGTCTCAAAAAATTAAACAAGATTAAAACCATGCCATGATATAGTTTGGATGTTTGTCCCTTCCAAATCTCATGTTGAAATGAGAGCCTCAGTGTTGGAGGTGGAGCCGAATGGGAGGTGTTTGGGTCATGGGGCAAATTCCTCATGAATTACTTGATGCCCTTCCTGTGGTAATGAGTGAGTTCTCACTCTGTTAGTTTATGTGAGAGCTGATTGTTAAAAACAACCTGACATCCCCCTTCCCTCCCTCTTGCATCCTCTTGCTACATGAACTCTGCGTGTGCTGCTTCCCTTGGCCTTTCGCCATGAGTGGAGGCAGCCTGAGACTCTCGCCAGAGGCAGATGTGTCATGCTTCTTATACAGCTTGCAGAACCGTGAGCCAAAAAATCTCTTTTCTTTACAAATTACCCAGCCTCAGATATTCCTCTGTAGCAGTGCAAAACAGACTAATATATACCAAGTACCTTTTCCAATGGTATGAAACTATAAATCAATGACAGAAGGAAAATTGGAAAATTAAAAAATATGTAGGAATTAAAAATACATTCTTAAACAATGAATGAGTCAAAGAAGAAATCAAAAGGGAAATCAGAAATGTTTTGAGATAAATGAAAATGAAACCACAACTTATCAAAACTTATAGGATGTAGCAAAAGCAATAATAAAGGGAAGTTCACATAAGTAAATCCCTATATATTTTCTGTTCGTTTGTTTTTTGAGATGGAGTCTTACTCTGTCTCCCAGGCTGGAGTGCAGTGGTGCAATCTCAGCTCACTGCAACCTCCACCTCCTGGTTTCAAGCAATTCTTCTGCCTCAGCCTCCTGAGTAGCTGGGACTACAGGCATGCACAACCACGCCCAGCTAATTTTTGTTTTTTGTCTGTTTGTTTGTTTGTTTTTTAGTAGACAGGGGTCTCATCATATTGGCCAGGTTGGTCTTGAATTCCTGACCTCATGATCCACCCGTCTTGGCCTCCCAAAGTGCTAGGATTACAGGTGTGAGCCACTGCGCCTGGCCATATTTTTCAAAAAAGAAAGATGGCAAAAAAGCAACCTAACTTCACCCCTCAAGGAACCAAAACAAGAAGAAATAAAGCCCAAAGTTAGCCTTTATAATCTTCAATAGGCAAGCTGGTTGGTGCTTCTCACCTCTTGGGTGGTTCATTTGCTCTTTGGCCTCTGGCCTCCTGGAGGCCTTCCTCTTGCCCGATAACTGCAGGGTTACCGCTTCTCCCCACAGGCATCATGGCCACTTAAAACTGACCAGTGCTCCTGACATTCTGAATCAATGTTTATTTTTCTCTTCCTCTATCTCCCTGGGATCTGTTTTATGTGTTAACTGGTAATAATGTTGAGGATTTATGCTGTTCCTGTGGGGACTGCAGGTGGTGAGTGGTCTGCACGATGTCTGAGGTGAGAGGCTGCTGGCCGACACACCAGAGGTGGGGCCTCGCTCTTGTTTGAGAGCAGCCACGTCTCCCCTCCAAGCAGCAACCTCTCTACTAGGATTGACAGAACCATTCTGGAGGACAGAGTTCTGTAGAGGAAGGTGGAAGAATGGAAAAAGGAAACAAATGTTGGGGTGAGAAAAGGAGGAAGAGATTTAGAAGAATCATGAGGAGACCTCAGATATTATTTCCATGTATTAATACAACACCTTTTCATATCGGTAGCAAACAAATCCAGAATTTGATAATTTTAGTATAGTTACCCATTTGAATAACATTTTTTTGCTTGGATTTACCTTTTTTGGACTAAGAGTTACCTTTTATTTTATTTTATTGGAAATGTTTTCATTAATAGTGATTATTAATTATATTCTTATGAAATATTATTCATAAATACATAATTTTTGTATATATTTGGGGGTCCATGTAATATTTTGATACAAGCATACAATGTGCAAGAGCACATCAGGGTAACTGGGGGAATCTATCACTTCAAGGGTGTTTATCATTTATTTTTGTTAGGAGCATTCCAATTCCACTCTTTGTTTTGAAATGTACCATAAATTACCATGATAGTCATCCTATTGTGATGACCTATAGTTATCCAACCATTAAATCTTATTTTTCTAACTATATTTTTGTGCCCATTAACCATCTTCTCTTTATCTCTCTCTCTCTCACCACCCTTCCTAGCCTCTGGTAGTCATCGTTCCATTCTATATCTTCATGAGTTCAATTTTTTTTATCTCCCACATATTAACGAGAGTATGCAACATACTTTTCCATGCCTGGCTTATTTCACTTATCATAGTGTCATCCAGTTTCATTCTTGTTGCAAATGACAAGATTTCATTTGTTTTTATGGCTGAGTAAAAAAATAACATTCCACTGTGTACATGTACCACATTGTGTTTATCCATTCATTCACTGATGAACACTTAGGTTGATTCCATGTCTTGGCTGTTGTAAAGAGTGCTGCAGCACACAGTGGAGTGGAGATATCTCTTTAATATACTAATTCCCTTTCTTTTGGATACATACACAGCAGTGGAATTGCTGGATTATGTGTCAGTTCTACTTATAATTTTTTGAGGAACCACTATACTATTCTCCAGAGTGGCTATACTAAGTATTCATTTTGCTTTTAATTTTGAATTCCTTTTTTAATGGTAGGTTTTATAGTGATTTATATACCTACTATTAAAAGGATAACTGATATAATTTTTAAAAAGCAGTATATTCAAATGCAAATTAAAATATGTTGCTGCTACAGTTCTCACAAAGGAAAAATGTTTCAGAGAATTCAAAAATTAATTTCCTATTTTGCAAATGTTTGGCCAAGGCTGCTCTGAGCCCCGCTGGCTGGCCGACCACCCAGATAGACAGAAGAAGGCTTTCCACTGTATGAGCCTCCTTGAGATTCAAGAGAAATTCCTCTCCACTCAGAAAAATATGTAAAAGAGGAAATCACCACTTTGCCTCTTCTCTCTTTCCCCAACAGACTCTTCCAAGTCCCCGGGCTCTCCTTTTTGCTTAGACTAATGCACTTGCTCTGATTTCAGCAAAAACAAACAATCAAAAAGCAAAGGATGGGCTCCCTTTATTCTATAGACAAATGGCTCACAATCAAACTGCAAGTGAAAGAATGAGGGCAATATTAAAAAACGATTTATTGTGTGTGTCTGCGCACCAAGCATCTTAGGTATTAGCAAATACAATACACCCCTACTCTCCCAAAGCTTATATTCTAGTGAGGAAAGAGACAGTATGAAAACATGAACAAACAGCTACGTTTTATAATGTCAGATAGCGATGATGCTATTCAGAACAAACACAGCAGAAAAGGAGAGTGAGGGTGCTAGACACGGTTGAAATGTGCTGTGCAGGGCTCTGCTGCTCATGTAGCATTGCTAGTAGGCCTGCCTGGAGACAGAAACAGAAGCCGTCTCTCCCCAAGCTCTCTATAGTGAGGTTTTAAAGGGACCTCTCTCTACACAGAGACAAATGGACATCAGAGGAGTGGTGGGAAAGAAAGAAACCTTATTGTAATGTAGCTATTCCCTCCAAGGGGCTGTGTCTCCACTTAGAATCCTGGATCATGTCCATTTCCTTCACGGGAAAACTGGGTCAAAGGGTGGACAAGATGTCCCAGTGCATGATGTGGGTTCCTGGTAGAAGAGCTCCTGTGGTTAGTCTTCTTCCCAAGCTCTTCACAGTTGTGATTATTAACATCCTTAAATGACATCTTGTTCATGCTTTTGTGTAGGACAAGAAAAGATGAAAAAGCTCAAGCATCTTACCCTTGGTGTCAGTGACTTTTGTTAACATTTTGGAACTTCACTGGGTTGCTCTAAAGTTTAATTAATGAGCCAGTGACTCATAGGTTATAATCTCTTGCAAAAGTGACTAACAAAAACAAAACCTTCTGTGATTTGTGTGCACACCTCAGAGAGCACACCCAAAATCAAAGGACTCACATCTCCATTCCTGAAACACAAGTTTCTGGTCCTAAAGGCTTCCTTGCAAAGAGCTTCTGAGTGGTCTTATATCTTAGTCATGTGTCTCACTTAAGCATGTTTGCTTGTCTTAGCCTGTAGACAGATCCTGTGAAAAGGAATGCAGTAAACATCTGGTTAAATCTATCTGCCACCTTAAAATGTATACATAAAATTTTAAAAATGTCAACTTGAAGGTAACAAATTACTTCATGTGTAACCATTCATTTTATTATTCATGTGTAACCATTGCTAATTTTAAACAATTTCAAACTTACAGAATTTGAAACTTAGGAGTTTCCAGAGGGGATAGTCTCTCTATCAAGTTGTGTTTTTACTGCATCTCACATAATGACCCATGCTGTTGGGAGCTTTTGTGCCATTGAAATATTTATCCCTCTTTCCTCCTTAATAATAATGGAAAGTTATTGAGCACCTAATCTCGTTGAGATGCTTCCTAGTCCTTTCGTGAGAAATCTCACGTAACCCTGTGACTTCGTCTTGTTAGTTGTAAGATGGGAACGGAGAAGTGAGGTAACTTGCAAGGTCCCACTACTTGTAAGTGGCAGAGCTGGCCATGCCATTTGGCAGCCCCTTTCTGGAACCCATGATCTCAAAGGTCCTTCACAGTTCTCCAAAGCTAAGCCAGTGGATTAAGTTATGCTTAAGAACATCCCAAAACCCCTCCAAGAGACTGGGGCAATGATAGGGTCATGGCCACAGATACAGAAAGCTTTAGGCACAAACAAACAAAAAGAGAGCTTGTTTTAATAATGTCACCTAAAATTTAATTTGAGCAATGCTCCTTGGACTAAAAGCAACAACAACAAAACAGTGTGGAGTTTGAAATGGCTAAAGACTTGCATTTTCTCTAATGATCCTTGCTTATGCCACCGTCTATGGTGACTACATGCAATTTTAAGTTGTATTAAATTTATCAGTTGAATCGTTACAATTTATGTCCCTGAAAATAAACCACAATAATTATGTCAATGGAAAATGCCATTTTTTCTGTATTGCGCTGTCCTGTGAGACATGATAATTTCTAGTTAGCAATGAGGCTTTACTGGAGATGTTAGACTTCTACTGTTCAAAACCAAAGGCATCTGTGGTATATAGAAATGGGGGCCTGAGTAGGTTGACCTTCTGGTTAAGTGAACATTTTGATTGATCTAGTCTTTAGACAAATATTTTTGTTGACAGTGCTTGAATCTTCTCTTCTGTGTTGGGACATCAAAGCCAAAATCCAGTGACCCTTTGGGATGCTGGCATCACAGCCCTAAACATGGTGGTAGCTGTCACCGGTGGGAATTAGGCTGAATAAATGAAAGGAGGCTAAGCCCCAGGACGTGTCCTGGAACTTAACAGTGCCAGTTTATTCGCTTTATGTAAATGCCTGCTGCTATTCCTTGCCTTATGAAGGCAAGAATTCATCTTTGGGGAAAATAGCCTTTGGCTCAATGGCTGTGTCTGCCAAGTCTTTGCACATGGACTTCATTTCTATTTGTTTTGTGTGTGTGTTTGTTTTGGGCGGTTTTTGTTGTTTATTTGTTTGCTCATCTCTCCCTTCATTGTTCCTGGCCTGGAGCTGACCCACACACTAGGATCAAGAAACAGATTTGGAAGTCGTGTTTGAATTTCATTGCACTCATACCCGCAGAAGCCCACGTCCCTGTTGCATCTTGTACATTAGATCATAAACCAGGTGCCGGGAGCTGATTTCCTCAGCAGCAGATGCCCTCGGTAAGCAGGGGCTGCAGGAGGAAGCCTGAGGGGTACCTGAGAGGGACCCTGCAAATCTCAAAAGAGCCATCCTCCTAGTGGTGGGGTGCTTCAGCTTAAAAGGAGTGTATTTTCCACCTTAACGGAAAATAATGGCTTAAATGATAGAAATTTGGAAGCAGAAATAAGAGAGAAATGTTTAGTTGTGGTGGCCATGCACTATGTGAAGAGGCTGCCCTATCTCTCACAGGAGAGGTTGGTTCCCAGCCAACAGAAACAACCAGGTCCTATCACCAGAGGCTCACACATCTCAGTGTTAACCTCCACTTTAGCCTTCATCTGGCACCCCACACAGTAGGTGCTTGGTTAATGCCTTGTGTTGAATGGGGCTGAAGTCACACTAGGGTTTTCCCACGGTCATTATCTTTTCTTGGTTCAAATCCTTTATCTTAAGAAAAAGTCCTGAAAGAAATGCCAAATATTATTGCCCTTTAATAAACCTGTTAACAAAAGAAATACTGTTCCTTAGATAGAAAGGGGGAAGGTTATTAAGGAAATTATTTCACTTGCTAAGTTTTGCAGGAATATTATCATCCATGACACAATTTAAGAGAAACAAGAAAACAAAAACTACATACTTCTTGGGAATGCTGAGATTACATATGATTTTTCAGAGGATTCTGGTTAATACTAAACAGAGCACTAAACAGGGGGTAGCGTTGGAAAGTGATTTCCTGGCTCTTGTGTTTAACAAGCAAAGGTGGCCACTCTGCTATGAGGGTGCTCTTCCCTGAAAGGAAAATGGATCCAAAGAGAAAATGTGCAGAAGCCGATTTTGAAAATGATCTTCTCTCATGTGGCTCTGAGCAGCCTACTGAGTAGTCTGGTTGTCTTGCCTTTTCTTTTCTTCTTCTTTTTGGGGGGGTTTTATTTTATTAAATATTTGGAAGCACAACAAGGGGTCTGATATGGTTTGACTCTGTGTCCCCACCCAAATCTCATCTTCAATTGTACACCCATAATTTTCATGTGTTGTGGGAGGGATGCGGTGGGAGGTAATTGAATCATGGGAGCCATTTCCCCCATACTGTCCTTGTGATAGTGAATAAGTCTCATGAGAGCTGACGGTTTCATCAGGGATTTCTACCTTTGCATCTTCCTCATTTTTCTCTTGCCACCACCATGTAAGAAGTGTCTTTCACCTCCTGCCATGATTCTGAGGCCTCACCAGCCATGTGAACTGTAAGTCCAATTAAACCTCTTTTTCTTCCCAGTCTCGGGTATGTCATTATCAGCAGTGTGAAAATGAACTAATATAGTAAATTGGTACCAGTAGAGTGGGGTGCTGCTGAAAAGATACCCAAAAATGTGGAAGCAACTTTGGAACTGGGTAACAGGCAGAGATTGGAACAGTTTGGAGGGCTCAGAAGAAGACAGGAACATGTGGGAAAGTCTGGAACTCCCTAGAGACTTGTCGAATGGCTTTGGCCAAAATGCTGATAATGATATGGATGATGAAATCCAGGCTGCGGTGGTCTCAGATGGAGATAAGGAACTTGTTGGGAACTGGAGCAAAGGTGACTCTTGTTATGTTTTAGCAAAGAGACTGGCAGCATTTTGCCCCTGCCCTAGAGATTTGTGGAACTTTGAACTTGAGAGAGATGATTTAGGGCATCCGGTGGAAGAAACTTCTAAGAAGCAAAGCATTCAAGAGGTGGCTTGGGTGCTGTTAAAAGTATTCAGTTTTAAAAGGGAAACAGAGCATAAAAGTTCAGAAATTTTGCAGGCTGACAATGCAGTAGAAAAGAAAAACACATTTTTTGAGGAGAAATTCAAGCTGGCTGCAGAAATTTGCATAAGAAACAAGGAGCCAAGTGTTAATTCCCAAGAAAATGGGAAAAAAGTCTCAAGGGCACGACAGAGGTCTTCACAGCAACCCCTCCCACCACAGACTTGGAAGCCTAGGAGGAAAAAATGGTTTTGTGGGCTGAGCCCAGGGTCCCATGCTGTGTGCAGCCTAGGGACTGGATGCCCTGCATCCCAGCTGCTCCAGCTATTGCTAAAATGGGGCAAGGTACGGTTTGGTCCATGGTTTCAGAGGGTGCAAGGCCTAACACCTTGGCAGCTGTCATGTGGTATTGAGCCTGCAGGTGCACAGAAGTCAAGAATTGAGGTCTGGGAACCTCCACCTAGATTTCAAAAGATGTATGGAAACGTCTGGATGCCCAAGCAAAAGTTTGCTGCTGGGGTGGGGCCCTCATGGAGAACTTCTGCTGGGGCAGTGTGGAAGGGAAATGTGGAGTTGGAGGCTCCACACAGAGTCCCTACTGGGGCACCGCCTAGTGAAGCTGTGAGAATAGGGCCACTGTCCTCCAGACCCCAGAGTAGTAGATCCACCAACAGCTTTCACTGTGCATCTGGAAAAGCCACAGACACTCAATGCCAGCCTGTGAAAGCAACTGGGAGGGGGCTATACCCTGCAAAGCCACAAGGGTAGAGCTTCCCAAGACTATAGGAACCTACCTCTTGCATCAGCGTAACCTGGATGTGAGACATGGAGTCAAAGGAGATCATTTTGGAGCCTTAAAATTTGACTACCCTACTGGATTTCAGACTTGCATGGGCCCTGTAATCCCTTTGTTTTGGCCAATTTCTCCCATTTGGAACAGCCATTTTTACCCAATACCTGTACCCGCATTGTATGTAGAAAGTAACTAGCTTGCTTTCGATTTTACAAGCTCACAGGCAAAAGGTACTCAGATGAGACTTTGGACTGTGGAGTTTTGGGCTAATGCTGAAATGAGTTAAGACTTTGGGGGACTGCTGGGAAGGCATGATTGGTTTTGAAATATGAGGACATGAGATTTGGAGGGGCCAGGGGCAGAATGATATGGTTCTGTGTCCCCACCCAAATCTCATCTTGAATTTTACTCCCATAATTCCCACATGTTGTGGGAGGGACCCTGTGGGAGATAATTTGAATCATGGGGGCAGTTTCCCCCATACTGTTCTTGTGGTAATAAGTCTCATGAGATTGAATGGTTTTATCAGGGCTTTCTACTTTCACATCTTCCTCATTTTTCTCTTGTTGCCGCCATGTAAGAAGTGCCTTTCACCTCCCGCCCTGATTCTGAGGCCTCCCCAGCCATGTGAACTGTAAGTCCAATTAAACTCTTTTTCTTCCCAGTCTTGGATATGTCTTTATCAGCAGTGTGAACACAGACTAATACATCGTCTCATTATGAACTACAGGAGACATCACATGGGCAGTTGTCTTCATTAGCCGTAGGAGAACAGGTTCCATTTGAGCCTCTACTTAGTGATAGTGACTCCGAGGTGTGAGCCGAAGGCTTTCCCTGTGCCTCCCACAGGCCAATGTCAACATCAGCACCTTTTCATATGTTCATCGCAGTACTATTCATAATAGCAAAGACATGAAATCAACACAGATGCCCATCAATAGTGGATTGGATAAAGAAAATATGGTATATATACGCCATGAAATACTATACAGCCATTAAAAAAACATAATCATGTCTTTTGCAGCAACATGAATGTAGCTGGAGGCTGTTATCCTAAGCAAATTAATTCAGAAGCAGAAAATCAGATACTGCATATTCTTACTTATAAGTGGGACCTAAACACTGGGTACACATGAACATAAAGATGGGAGCGATAGACACTGTGGACCACAAAGGTAAGAGAGAGGGAGCAAGGGGGGAAGAGCTGAAAAACTGCCTACTGTATGTTACTATTCACAACCTGGATGACAGAATCATTTGTACCACAAACCTCAGTATCATGCAATATACTCATATAACAAAGCTGCCCATGTCCTCCCTGAATGCAAAGTAAAAGCTGAAATTAAAAAAAAAAACAGTTAAAAGCAAAAATAATCTTGTCTGTGCCTTAATGAATTGTGGGAATGAGCTGTAATACAGTGAAAATGTTTCCAACAGGGTTATAGGTGGCCTGTGACCACCAGCACCTCAGTTTACCCATACACAGAATAGTGACAGTCATGTCTGCATTCCATACTCCTCCATGTGACAATAAGCTGCAAATGAGGTAGACAGTGTTAAAGGGTTTCCACTGCCACACATCTCACCAATATTATGTTACTCTCACAAATAGGCCATGTTGACCCTGGGAGGGTAACACAGAGAGTTGCTTAGGCCTCACTCTGAAGTGGTTACATCAGATATTCTCCTTGTTGACTACTGGATTACAGAAGCAGAAGGTGCTGGTGTCTGGGGTTGGAGGGATATGGGACATGCAGGGAAGCCCATTGGAAAGAGCTTCAAGGAGCTTTGCCCTTCTGGTCAGCTTTGCTCACTTCCCCTGTGACGTGGGCCAGTAACACACCAGGGGCCCACAAAATCAACAAACTACTTAATGTGGAGACTCTACTAGGAAGACACTAGAAAAGGAAACGGGAAAACCAACCTTTGCCCATAGCTCTGTTCTCCTCCCTTCTGGCCTCACCCCCACCTTACTCCTCTGGTTCCCAAATGCCCTAAGAGTTTCCCTTCTTTTCAAGCCATGATTCCTTGACCGGCTGAAGAACACATCCGAGCTCACAACAGAGGGATGGTAGGATGGTGAGCTGGAGGCCTGCCTGCAATTGCACTTGCGTTCATGACTGCAAAGGCTTAGGTGCACAGCAGGTGGAAGAGCTCTTTCCCAGAAGGAATGCAGTGAATTTGTGCCAATGGCTTCCTCATCATTGTCCCCATGGTAGGACAGATATGATGAGGTTTTAAGTGCTTTGTCTTAACGCAGTGACAAGTCTGGTTTTTTGGTGTTTTTTTTTTTTTTGACTGAAGACAGTTTCCCCTGATGTTCAGTCAAAATCAAGAACCCACATTTCATAAGAAAGCACCTCGCCTACTACCTACGATGCATTTTCCATAAATGTTGTTTTAACGTCTTGTTAATAGGGAACAGTTTCATCAGCCACAAAGCCCAGCTCCGACAGACAGAGATGGAGCCACCCACCACCCTCTGATCTGCCATAGCAGAGTCCCCGCAATGGCCACAGCATGTGCTGTCACTCTGTCAAGCAGTTGCAATGTGCACTGAGTTTTCTTGGAGACCCTTCTGACTCTCCAACGTCGTGTGAATTTCCTGAGAGCAGGAGCCATGCGTCTGCTGAAGTCTCTGTTCCTAACTCCCAGCACAGCAGCTGGAGCATCGTGGGGACCAAGGACATATTTTCTGACTTAAAATCAATTGACTAGAATAGTGACTGTTAAAGAATATTTCCAAAATGCTTGAAAGTATATGCTAAAAACCTGTACTTGAAATAAATTATGTAAAACATAAATAACCGATCTAAGGGACCAAGTGCCCTAAGGATGTGCAATTTACCCAACTTGTGAGAATATCTCATGTGGTTTGAAATTATTCTTCCTTTGATATTTCATAGATGTGCCCATTTTAGGTGCCAAGCCCTGGATGGATAGAAATCTCACAAACAGATAACAAATCACTTTGAAATTCCCAAAACAGATACTGAAACAGATATGCTGTAAGGGGGAGTAATGCTCTTGGGAAAAGCATCATTTCTACCAATCTTTTTGAAGTCAGGCATAAGTGCCCCTTTCGCTGCATTTTCAGTGGTCTGAATAAAATGCACAATAAAGAGTCTTGTAAAACATCAGGTCAAGGTTTTGCTAAGTGCTTGCTATCAATCCATGGGCCAGTCACTCAGTCCACATTAATTAAGTGCCTAATGTGGATAAAGCATCAGGTGGCGGGCACAAGTAGGTCACTGTGGTATGAGGCATCGTTTACCACTATTTGCATGTAACAACTATAAATAATTGAAGTCAGAATATAATTAGGTGCTAAATTCTACAACATAGATTAAAGAGATGTAGAGAATTTGAAGGGAGGAAGGGTCAAGGAGGGGCTTCATCTTCTACATAGAGCTAGAGCTGAGTCTTGAAGAAGGAGTCAGGTTTGAAGAGGAAGAAGGGGAGATGAACAAGCACCCTGGGCCAGTGAGGGCAAGGTAGGGGAGGGGAAGACAGTGCGGGGTGGGGGAGGATGCTGGCCAGAGTGCTGGGCCACAGGGAGGAGGAACTTGAGAGAGTTAAGAAGAAGAATCCATGTTCAATGTTTCTCAGAAAGAATCATGATGGGCATATTGATGAATTTAAAAATCGGCATATTGATAAACTAGAAATAAAGTTGGAGATTATATATATATGAAATAAAGTTTCATATATATATATAATAAAGTTTCATATATATATATATATATATATATATATATATATATATATATATATATATATATAAAAAATAAGATTACAGGCTGGGCAAGGTGGCTCACGCCTATAATCCCAGCACTTTGGGAGGCTGAGGCGGGTGGATCACCTGAGGTCAGAAGTTTAAGACCAGCCTGGCCAACATGGAGAAATCCTGTCTGTACTAAAAATAGAAAAATTAGCTGGGCGTGGTGGCAGGTGCCTGTAATCCCAGCTACTGAGGAGGCTGAGGCAGGAGAATCGCTTGAACCCAGGAGATGGAGGTTGCAGTAAGCCGAAATTACACCACCACACTCCAGCCTGGGCGACAAGAGCAAAACTCCATACCCTCTCTACAGGACTTTATGGAGAGAAATTACCTAAGGAAAGTGGTGCCAAAAGAAACCTAAATGTGGAAGCAGAGGTCACAACACAGGAAGCAGAATATTAGCCCTGTTTACATCTGTTTTTAGAGTGAGTTCTCATAGTTTAAACTGCAGTAAGCCACCTCCATCCTTCCCTGGGAGTGTCCTCACTGGAGCTGGCAGATGCTTCTCTGCTTTTTTGTGGACGTCAGCCCTAACAGGTCCACTCAGACCCCCTGCTTGGAAGAGAATGAGTGCCAATCATTCCAGGAGGGCTTGCTATCCCATGCATTGGTGGTGGTACTGCAACGCTTGCCACTAAGCCTGTGTTTGGAGGGTACACTCAGGGAAGTCATCTGGATATGACCATGACCTAGGAGGTGATGAACTTGTGCTACCTGAATAACACTTTGCTGGTCAGAATTCCCAGGAACCATAGAGGAAAACAGCAAAACAAGACTATGCAACTTACTTGTCCTAAAAATTATATATCTACATAGACTGAGTGCAGTTATGTTAATCAAAACCATGCACTCCATTGCGACAAGCTCCAAGCAGTGTGTTTGGAGAGAAATTATGAGAAAGAGAAAGTTATGACTCTGCCCATGACCCCTCTGTCACTCAGTCATTTGCTCTCAGTATCCTTGGCCTGAAGGACAAGGCCAGTCTAACTCGCTTAACAACTGGAGCACCTACTGTGTGCCAACCCTGCACTGGCCAAAATGTAGAGGCATGGGGAGAAAAGTGACAATAACCAGTGCTCCTAAGTGGCAGGCACTGCACTGGAGATCTTCTGGTTGGGTTTTTATTTTTTAATTAATTATTATTATTATTATTGTTATTATTTTATTTTTTAAGATGGAGTTTTGCTCTTTTTCTCCAGGCTGGAGTGCAATGGCATGATCTTGGCTCACTGCAACCTCTGCCTCCTGAGTTCGAGCGATTCTCTTGCCTCAGTCTCCCAAGTAGCTGGGATTATAGGCACATGCCATAATGTCCGACTAATTTTTGTACTTTTAGTAGAGACGGGATTTCACCATATGGGCCAGGCTGGTCTCAAACTCCTGACCTCAAGTGATCTGCCCACCTCGGCCTCCCAAAGTGTTGGGATTACAGGTGTGAGCCACCGTTCCTGGCCTCTGGTTGGGTTTTTAATATTCATCTTTACTCATTTAATCCTGATTTCTTCTTAAAGAAATAGTAAATAGCAAGTATGTTAGCCTTCCTGTGATAAGAGCCCATGAGAATTTTGACTACCTGAGTAATCAGACACCCCAGAGGTGAGTGATCAAGAATCATTATTTTTCTCTGCTCACATGGGGAAAGAAGGCCGCAATTCCTCTCCCTTCCTGGAATGGTCTCCTTGAAAATGTAGTCCTTATTCCAACCCTTTGGTATGTAAAGACACCTTTCCAAGGCCTGAGGATCCCCGGGGTGCTGTGCTTCTTACCTTCTGAAATGTGAATACCTAGGGAGATAGCTCAGTGTCCTGGCACCTGGGAGGTTAACTTGGGGACTGAGTTAAGGCTTTAACCATTTGGTTCTCCTGGGCCATAAAAACAAAACAAAACAAAAGCAGAGGAATGAAATGGCTACAGCCCTCATTCACATGGGAACTAGGGGAATTTTTCTTGTGCAGAGACTCTCAAAAATGTCCAGAGGCCAGGGAGAAACGTATGGAAGTTTTGTTTGCCCACCTGTGTATAAATGATTTCGCTATTCCTAGCATCTCTGTCAGGAAGGTCTTACTTTGCCCCAGCACTGGTGTTGCCTCCTCTGAAGAATATTCCCTGGGTTCCCTAATAGGAACCCAGAAGTGTGAAATACACTCTTAGTCATCACAGTCCAGCTCCAAAAGATCAGAGAGGAAGAGACCAAGAGCCTGTGACTCTCCCGAAATGGCACAGCTAAAGAATGACAGAGCTGGGACCAGACTCCAAACCTGCTGACTTTACACTTAGAGCCATCTCCTTAACACTACACATCTCCAGTGCCCCTGTGGGTGTGTGTAAACAACTGTCACGCAAACGGTTCGGACAGCTGGTTTTTGTGTGTGTGTGTGGAGGTAGGGCGGTGTGGTATTTAACTCTTTTAAAGCTCAATGTGTTTCTCAGCAATTACTGATATGAAAACAACTGAGAAAACACAAGTTATAATTCAAATGGCTTAGTCTTCACAATGGAATTATATCTGACCTTTCTCCACTTCCTTTCTCTGCTCACAGATTTGGACAGAGGCCACTTACAAAACCAATTTTGGCCCCACACGCAAACTGGTCTTGCCCAGGAAAATATTAGATGCTAATTGGTAAGCTTCTCTAATGCACAAAAGACTTAAAAAGCAATGTGTGCAAATATTGTAAACGTCTCCTAAGATGTAAGTACCATGTGAAGATAATTTGCGAACACGATTACTATTTGTGTATTGGAGAAAACGCTCAGCCTACTACCTCAATTCGTTATACTGTGTCCTCTATATACATAAGAACTATCTTAAAGATGGTAGAGTGGAAGTGATTTGTTTGTATCAGGATTTAAAGCATTCCCTACCCAATCAATTAACACACTAGTATTTTAATGAAATAATGACTTAGCCAAAAGCTATGAGTAATTGGTTTACTCTATGGACATAACTGAAGCAGCTGCTATGAGCTGGTGATATAGTTTGGATGCTGTTCCTGCCCAAATCTCACATCAACATATGATCCCCAATGTTGGAGGTGAAGCCTGGTAGGAGGTGATTGAATCATGGCAGGGAATTTGCCATGTGGTGCTGTCCTTACCACAGTAAGTGACTTCTGGCAAGGTCTGGTCATTTAAAAGTGTGTGGCACCTCCCCACCACTTCTCTCTCTTGCTCCCGCTCCTGCCATGTGACGTGCCTGCTCCCCCTGTGCCTTCTGCCGTGATTGGAATCTTCCTGAGGTCTCCGCAGAAGCAGGTGTCACTACGCTTCCTGTACAGCCTGCATAACCATGAGCTAATTAAACCTATTTTCTTTATAAATTACCCAGTTTCAGGTTTTTCTTATAGCAATACAAGAGTGGATTAATATGCCTAAGTACTGACCTACCCATGAGCCAAGTACTAAAGACACAGCTATGAATAAAACTCAAAGCCTGCCCGCAACAGACTTAACCACACAATTGGGGAGATTGGCTAATAAAGCGCTTATTTATTCAACAGTGCGGCAGGTGCTACAAGAAGATAAGCACAAGCTGATCCCTGGAGATGATGGCTGAGGGATAGGAATGATAAGACCTGGGGGTTAACTACTGGATTTGGGAAATGAGAAAAGGAGACACAGAAACATTGTTTGCATTGGGGAGCTGGGTGGTTGGTGCTATTTTACACTAAAAGGAAGTTGTCTTTCTGTGTCTCTATTCCATGTAACTGGTGGTAGGAGAAGTGGGACAAGGTGGGTTTCTGGGAACTGTTTACATCATACTACGAAGGCAGCTTTCACTCTGCCTGTCCTTACACCTGGCCCTAAAGCAAGCCCACATAACTGCCTGCCCTGCCAGTGTCAGCTGATCAAGGCCCCAAATAACCCAGAAGCTAGCAGGGTCTCCCTCTTTTCTACCAAAAAGGTGGGATCATGTCTGATTCTATAGAACGTTCTTAGCAAATAACTAATGGTTCCAGCAATGGACATTTAGACACTGTCACATTATAGCTATCAGTGCTGGGAAGACGCTGGCTCAGGACAGCCTGTAGACTTGCCTGGATGATCACAATGACCTGAGCACACAACGTAAACTAGCGCTGAGCTACAGAAGATCCTTGACCTCTCTCTTCCCTCAAATGATAAATGAAGGGACAATAGACTTGCCACCTATCTCTAAAGAAAATAAAATGTTCAACCTTAACAATAGCAACAAAAGGAGACAATGTAAGTAGACAAAGAATGGGAATGAAAATTTATCAGATGCCTAATATGTGCCAGTGGCTGTGTTCATGGTGTAGATTTCATCTTCCAAATAAGCCTGGTGTTATTCCCACATTTTACTTATAGGAAAACGAAGTCTCAGAGAAATAAATTAGTTATCCATGCATCATACAATTAACTATTCAAGGATTCAAATCTCATTTTGTCTCTCTACAGTCTTTAATTTTCCCCCACAGTATCACAGGTCTTTAAGAATAAATACAGTAAGCAAAGCTTGCAGGCTTGGAATTGGTTTGGGCAAGTTTCTACCTGCATAGAGGAAGTCGTTGGTCCTTTGTTTCATAGATTCCTGGCTGTGCCAGGCTTATAAGGTCAGTATTTAGGGCTGATGTAGAACTGTCCAAATCCCAGCCTTCCTAGTACTGGAAAAATAATCCTTCTGAAAGTAAGATGGAGTCATTCTTATGACTTCTTTGCTTGAAAATGCAGAAGGAGCAGGGAAAAGTCAGGCTATCATCACATGCAACCCTAGAGCACCTATATTGTTTTCACGTTTCATATCCACACTTCTGACACAAAGTAGTCACTAGAATGGCTTTGCTTAGATTATTTCAGTTATGTATAATGTGTGTGTGTCATAATTCATGGAAAAAAATATATTTGCAACATGTGGTAGATTGAAAAGTGGCAGCAATTATTCCTCTTTCTGTACCCACGCCCTGTGCAGTGTGACTTTCTAAGGATTTCATCAGAAGGTGGCATTGATTTTCCAATCCACTGAGTCTGAGATGCCCTTGTGACTTATTTTGCCAATTAGAATGTGACAGAAGAGAGGACGGTGTGACAGTGCCTAGCCAAGGCCTCAGGAACCTTGCATATTTCCACTTTCTTCCCAGTCCCTGGAGAGACAACCTCCTGGCAGAACGGAGCTGATCACAGACACATGAGGAAGCCCAGTTGAGACCAGGAGAGCTGCTCAGCTGAGCTCAGCCCCCAGATTGCCAGCCCATTGGATTGGGAGCTAAATAAATTGCTGGTTTTTGAAGTAGGTGTTTGGGTGGGTTTCTAGGTGGCAAAAGCTGACCAATACGTACATCAAACTAATTATCATCTTTTGTGCTCTTCACAGTTAAACTTGTTGCTTAGGGATATTTGAATAAGGATAGAAGGAGGTAAAAAGCAAAACTGAGCCTTTCCTGAAGTAGATAACATCTAGTTAAAAATAACAATTTACACTCCCAATAAATAATGAATTAAGCAAGACAGTAGATAATTATGAGATAAACTGTGTGTCCTGACAAGCCCAGAGAAGGCAGAGATAAGTAGACAGGATGAGTCAGCTGCCTTTCTTACCTACAAGTTATTCCATTTCTGCCAACTTGGACCATCCCAGCTGCTAACTTTCCCTTTGGGGAAAACTTGGCCAATAAATTACATTACTTGTCATGACCAACTCAGTGATATCCAGTGAGTGATATCCAATGCCCTGTGATAGCTGTTCGGTTTCATTTGCTTAGGTCTGGCAAAAATAGATATACTCAAATTACCTAGGTTAATAAATATTAATATGGAGAAATTTTAACCCATTATTTATTTCTCATCATCTGCATAATATCCTCTCAGGAAATGCTAATAAAAGCTTTATGAGATTTGAAATTCAGCAACATCTCCAAACAGAAATGCAGTGAAAACAGGATGGAGTCTGACTGGAGGAGAAACACTGATTTTTTTTTTTAAGAAAAACTTCAAAAAATGTTTCATGAGGTGTGACTTAGGCATCTGAGTCTCAGAAATCCATCCACTTCCATAATGTGGAAATCCTGAGACATGAGCATGCCATCTTCTGTGAGGTGTCCCTTCTTTCTTACTGCCCGAAAGCAGAGTTGTGGTAAAGGTGTGTTGCTGCCCCCACCCATACCCCCAAACTGATAGAACATTCCAGGAGCACACAACTAGGAATGTAATATAAGACAACAAGCTAGGAACCATTAACTCAGAATGCATTTATCATCTATGGGCCCCAGCAGACCTGTGGCGGTTTTGTTCTAGAGTAAACTTACAGAGAAGGCCAGGGAGCTTGTCTGAGACACCGATGCGTCCATAGTTCCTGAAACAGTACCAGGCACATACTGGGCACCCAGTGAACAAGTGTTCAATAACTGAGCACCAGGAAGGCCACCACACTCTCTGCAGCCACTGGGTGGCTACTTATTTCTCCCTGTGAGCTGGTAGGAGTCCAGAATATTCAGAAGTGGAATCCCAAATGCCTAACTAGATGATACATTATTTTAACAATTGTTTCCATCAAAATTCACCTATAAAAATCTCCTGACACATATTTCTGTTTGGCCCTAGTATGTAAGGGTATTTAGTGTATGGAAAAGTTAGTTTTTTAAGGAATGGGTTAAAAAAAGATGGGTTATTAATAAATACTCTTAT